>NC_000009.12:63968447-64135013 GCF_000001405.40 Homo sapiens
GAATTCTTTTTCAAGTAAGTCAGGGATTTCTTCTTAGTTTGGATCCATTGCTGGTGAGCTAGTGTGATTTTTTGGGGGGTGTTAAAGAACCTTGTTTTGTCATACTACCAGGGTCGGTTTTCTGTTTCCTTCTCATTTGGGTAGGCTCTGTCAGAGAGAAGGTCTAGGGCTGAAGGTTGTTGTTCAGATTCTTTCATCCTATGGGGTGTTCCCTTGATGTAGTACTCTCTCCCTTTTCCTATGGATGTGGCTTCCTGAGAGCTGAGCTGTAGTGATTGCTATCTCTCTTCTGGATCTAGCCACCCAGCAGGTCTACCCGACTCCAGGCTGGTACTGGGGGGTAGTCTGCACAGAGTCGGGAGATGTGAACCATCTGTGGGTCTCTCAGCTGTGGATACCAGCACCTGTTCCAGTGGAGGTGGTAGGAGGGTGAAATGTACTCTTTGAGGGTTCTTAGCTTTGCTGGTTTAATGTACTATTTTTGTGCTGGTTGGCCTGCTGCAGGGAGGTGGCACTTTCCAGAGAGTGTCAGTTGTGGTAGTATGGAAAGGAACAGGTGATGTGTTGGGCTCTAGAACGCCCAAAAACATGAGATATTTAATCTCCACTGTTACTAGTAATAGAAAAAGCAGAAAAGTGCTTTCTTGCTTGATAAGAGAAGTGCAAGCAGACTAAAAAAAGGTTCAAATTGAACTTGCAAATGTGAGACTTTTAAAAGTACTTATTTTGTCACAGCAGTCAAGACACTAACAACCACCTAAATGTCCAGGACAGTTGAATGGATAAAATAAATGTGGTAATATACATACAACCAAATATTATGTATCCTTAAAAAAATCCTGTCATATACTACAACATGGATGAATCTTGAGGACATTACACTAAATGAAATAAGCCAGTCACAGAAGGACAAATATTGCATGAATCCACTAATATCAGGTGTCTAAAACAGTAAAACTCATCAAATCAGAAAGTAAAATGGTGGTTACCAGGGGTTAGAGGGAGACGAAAATTGGGAGGTGCTGTTCAATGGGTATAATTTTAGTCATGCAAGATGAAAAGTTCTAGAGATCTGCTATATAACAATGTACATACAGTTAACAATACTATATTGTACCCTTAAAAATTTGTGGAAGAAGGTAGGTCTCACGTTAAGTGTTTTTTACCACAATAAAAAATATACAGTCATGGATACATAAAGAGAAATGAGCTGTTGGGCAATTTTGTTGTTATACAAACATGATAGTGTACTTACACAAACCTAGATGGTATAACCTACTACACACCTAAGCTATGCTGTATAGCCTGTTGCTCCTAGGCTACAAACCTGTACAGCATATATGTTACTGTACTGAACAGTGTATGGAAATAATAACACAATGGTAAGTATTTGTGTGACAGTAATTTTTCAGCTCCATTGTAATCTTATGCAGTCTGACTAAAACGCTGTTATGCAGTGCATGACTATACTTATTTTTAAATCTTAATAAACATACTCTATTTTAAAACTATTTTTATAGCATAAGGTAATAATAATATGCATTTTTAAATGACAATTATTTTATTTCTTCATTAAAGGAATCACTACAATACCTAAAAGTCCACATAAAATATACAGCAAAAGGTTGTCAAATGAAACATAAATGTCAGTTAAAAAATTAATTTAGTCTTCAAAAATGTTTAAAATGTATTTTAATGCAAGTTGGAAAACTATATTGAGAATGTCACAAAATACGACTCAAAATTGCTTTATTGTTAAAGATTTTAACTGAATAAATTTTTTTGAGATGGGGTCTCACTCTGTTGCCCAGGCTGGAGTAGAGTGGCACAATCATGGCTTACTGTAGCTTTGAACTCCCAAGCTAAAGCAATCCTCCCACTTCAGCCTCTCGAGTAGCTGGGATTACAGGTACATGCCACCATACCTGGCTAAATTTTTGTATTTTTTTTGCAGAAATGGGGTTTCACCATGTTGCCCAGGCTGGTCTACAACTCCTGGGTTTTAAGCAATCCACCCACCTTGGCCTGTCAAAGCGCTAGGATTACAAGCATAAGCCACCACACCCAGCCTAAAGATTTTTATAATGATTTTTGCTTTTATCAGGTTAAATATGTGACTTAATATTTTTAAGGGGTACAATAAACTCCAGTATGAGACACAAAAGGCTTTAAAAATTAAGATAACGCATCATGGGGCTCAAGAAGGATGATCTATATTTTGGAACCAGATGTTTTCCTACACCAATAAACTCTTTTCACGTTAGAAAAACCCTGAAAAAATCTGTAATTCCCAGTGCAGAAGATAAGGGTCACAACTCATAGTTGGTTCTAATAATAAACTAAACATTATTTGTCACTTGGGTTTTCTCATCTACCTTCCCATTCTCCAAACCCAGGTGTTCCTTATGGGGAATAAACAAAGAATCCATGAAAAATAGATAACTACATTAAAAATTCAGGGATAGAGCCTTAATAACACATATATACTAGGTCCTAGGTATTACCCATTTCAGACTTTTTTTTTCCAGTTTTTGTTTTGAATCTAAAATTAACTCCTTTTTCCATGTATGCTGACACAGAAAGAAACAGAAAAGTGAGGCAATAATTGAGAAAACTGAAGCAAAATGAGGAATTGCCTCTAAAATAAAATTTAGGAACAACTTACTCAGGTTTGTTTATTTAGTCTGTTTCTTCTTTAACCCACTGGGTTATTTCTCCATTTTCTACTCTTTTGCAAACAATACCTAACATACAATAACTTTTATATGTTTTCTTCATCCAGAACACTAAGCCCCCTAATGTGCTTAAACTCAAAATCTGTACCTTCACACTCTATCCCTCTGTTCTTCTTTGCCTGTATAATATCTATACTATAATATCTGGCCACCAGGGACAACTGAATATATGGCATTATCATCCAAATCACTTTGCCTTCCCGATTTTTCTATGTCTAGGTTTCTCTAGTCAATCTAGGCTTGTTTCCCATCACCCCTTCTTTTCTTTCTGATCCATAATCAGTCAGACAGGATATTCAGGCAAGTCTACTGGTGAAACAGCTCTGGATTTATCCCATTTCTAGTCTCACTGTAACCAACATGTTTCAGGCCCTTATCACACAGTATCTTCCCGCATGGTCTCCTGACTCTAAAGTCCAATCTAGCTTACATAACACTCCTAGACAGCACTGCTTGAGTTCTCTTTGTCTAGCAAATTAAAACCTAATACCTTAGACCAGGATTCCAGTACCAACTCTCCACTAAGACTTCTGTACCAGAGACCTACTCATCTATAAGATTCTCACCTTCTCATTTTTAAACATCAGTATTGCTCTTTTCCTTACTTCTTCCCGTCAAAAAAAATCCTACCGTCAAAAAAAATCCTACCAGTTCAAGGTTATTTTTTGTTAAGTAAGTCAGAATAGCACTTACCCCTTCTTTGACTAGGAAGGGGCAAAAAGGAACTCTTTACAATTTTGGATATCTTTTGTATCTTGACCTGAGTGGGAGTTAGAAGGATATGTGTTTGAATGTGCATATAGACAGATATATAGGTACAAATATATGTAAAAATACATTGAGGCCGGGCACAGTGGCTCACGCCTGTAATCCCAGCACTTTGGGAGGCCGAAGCAGGTGGATCACCTGAAGTCAGGAGTTTGAGACCAGCTTGGCCAACATGGTGAAACCCCATCTCTACTAAAAAAAAAAAAAAAAAAAAATTAGCTAGGCATGGTGGTACATGCCTGTAATCCCAGCTACTCAGGAGGCTGAGGCATGAGAATCACTTGAATCTAGAAGGAGGAAGTTGCAGTGAGCCAAGGTCACACCACTGCACTCCAGCCTGGGTGAGACTCTAGCCGGAGCGAGACTCCGTCTCAAAAAAAAACAAAAAAACCAAAACAAAAACAAAACCCAAACATTGAATTGTACACTAAAATTACACATTTGCATGCTTTACTGTATGCAAATAAATAAACCAAAACCAAAAGAAACAAATGAAAAACTATCCTCATGAAGCATTTGATGGGGTTCAGGACATGCTATCCCAAAATATGGCAACTCAATATTTGAGAAAATGGCAGAATCAGGAAGGTCACTCTCACCTTCTCTCCTGAAGCAGGTCATAAAACCTAGGAAAGATTTTCTGACCTTCCGCTGATGCAGGTCATAAGACCCTCATTTAAGAGGTGCCCTCTCTATACACAGAGGAAAAGAACATCCTTAAGTCTGAATATGAAGGGTCACAGAGAAAAATCTGAGCAAACAGGCCTTGCTAAGTTCTTCCCAGTTTATTATTAGATCATACTGTTTTATCTAATTATGCTTCTCCATTACTATCCTCTTCCATATCATAACTAACAGAAAACATACACAGGTATGTTTTATGAAGGCTCCTGTGTCAAGTAAAACTTACTAAATAAATTTCTATGTTGAAATTTCTCTTGATAGTTGGTCTTCTGTTAGAGAGACCTCAGCCATGAATCTAGAGATAGGCGAGGAAAAGATAAATTTCCTCCCATACACCTCAGATCCACTAAACCAAATGAAATTGTTCATGCCTCTGAATCCCATAGCCCTTTGGCTGTGATACTATTTTTCCCTATGTTTATATTATCTAAAGCAGGACAGTGCATCAGAATCTCCTACAGAGGCTACAAAAATATAGATATGCCCTATTTAGTAGTAAAGTGACATAATGTCTGGAATTTGCTTTAATACACTACACCAAGGGCAATAGGTACATACAGGCTCATTATACTATTCTACTCTTATGCACGTTTGAAATTTCCTATTAAAATACATTTTTTTTTAAATACTCCAGGCAAAAGAAATGTTGGGAGGATAGGTGAAATAAAATCAGCTAAATGTTGACGCCATTTAAACTGGGTGATGCATACAAGGAGTTTACTTTACTATTCTGTTTATTCTTTTATATCTTTGAAATCTTCCATAATAAAATGTTAAAAATATACATTAATATACACATACCCAAGTCCCAATCTTGGAGACTGAGGGGTGAGAACTACTGAGTTATCGAATTTTTTTTAAAAAAGCTCCACATGTGATTCTGATTTATACCCCATTTGAGAAACACAGCTTTTCATTCTTTTAACAAATATTCACTGAGTATCCACCAAGCCCTGTACTAAGCAATAAAGATTTTATATTTAAGGAATTTATAGACTAATGCAAGGCAAAAGCATTTCAACCAAACTACAAGGCATCATAACTGCCACAATAGGGGTTCATTCGAGATTCTATGGATGGAGACACTGGCTGCTCCAAATGTTCATGGTAAGTGAGTACTGCGTTTTCTTCATCTTTTCATCCCTATGATTCTTGGCATCACGTTCTTTACCCAGAAGCTCAAATGTGCTTCATGTTCAACTATATGACAGATACTGACTATCATAAAGAACTGGGTTTTTTTTTTTACCATAAATTCTATCTCCAAGGACTTGTATTTCTCTCATTTATTCATTTTAAAGATAAGTGAAGAGGAATATCCTATTAACAAAAGTTTCACAGGGAAAGGTGCCACAAACATAGTAGCAAACCTGCTCATAAATATGAACCAAAATGAATACAAATGCAAGTAGCTGTTATCTTGGCCCTATTACAACCAATAGCAATTCAAAAATTGAGTGATCACTTGAGAGAGAGGAAGGAAGATTAGGCACACTGCTCACTTACACATCCCCCACTCCACCCCTCAGGGTTTTAAGAGGAACAAAGAAGTTATCCTAAAGCTCTACGATCTATGATCTGCTTAACAGAAATGCAGGTACAGTAAAATTATATTTAAATTGTTCCTAGCATCTTAGATATTTACCTTAGGGATTAGAATTTTAGAGCATGAAAAACATCTTAAGGAGTTCAAATTTATAGTGCTACCTGAAGGTGAAACTCCAAGTCAATTTTTATTTAAATAAGCCATGCTTATATCAGACCTTTCCTTAAACAATTCAACATACTTAAAAACAGACTGCCTATAGAACCCCCAGGCTGCTTTTAAGGAGTAATCCCTATCAGAACTAACCAATATGCTAAGCAATCTACAGAATGGAAAAGCTAGAAAGCATGATTTCCTCAGATTCTAAAACAAATCTGGTTTGATGAATTCCTATTATGTGTTAAGAAATAGAATTAGACTATGTCAAAAGCATTTAAGATTCCAAAAATTATCAACACAGTTCAAAAATACCATTTTAGAAAAAGTTTATAATAAAATAGTCCTAAACATAGCCTATCTAGTTAAAGAGGTCCTTTAAAAACATTGATTAGGAATTTTAGATTTAGATTTTTTTTCTTTACCTGATCAAGGTGAGGTTGTGTTCCTGGCACATGCTGAAGTTTTTTCTGCAAACTAAAAACAACTGATTAGAAATTCAGAGATGAATACACTTCTGATTTAACTTTATACGTTATTTAGTGACACAAGGATAATGAAGTGACTTTCCATAACTGACTATTCTAATATTCTGTAATTCCAATTTTACAAGTTGTTCGCAAATTCCAATAGAGAAAAGCTGGCAGATTAAGTTTTTTTAAAATTTCTTAAAAAAAACACACACATTCATATATATACATATGCACAGAATAAAGAGAAAAACTAGTCTTTTAGCAACACTATTTTGTATGGTTAAATATGTCAGTAAATTTCTTTACCATTCCAACAGGTTTAATACAAACTTAAATATATATATAACCATTCTAGTATTGCTTAGAGTTCCTTAACTTTCTCCTGCTTCCTAATATGAAAATAATGCTGGCACCTAAAGAAAGTTGAAAGGATAAATTTTCCTTTATCAATGTTTTCCCTTGAACTTATTAAAAAAGAAATAGTATCCATAAATATAAATTTTCTATATAGTCAGTTACCAATTGAGAGAAAAAGAAAGTCAGAATGTTAAAAATGCATTGTTCTGATATGAAAAGCACAAGAAGATCAACATGGCATAACAAATTACAACCATAATAACTGTAGCATACATTTCAACACTGATGGGGACAGGACGGGAGGGGGAAAGGACTTAAAACCTTGCAGATGCTTTGCCTTGAAAACAGTGAGGGATAAATTAGTAACAGCAAGTTTAGGAAAGAGAAAGAACTTGTAGGAACTATTGGAGGGAATGAGTCTCTTTGGGGGGGTCCTAGTAGGGAGAATGTCAAATTAAATCCTTCCCAGCTGGTTGCTCAGGAAAAGATTCTCCTGTTTAGCAGTTAAGCACACACAAAAAAGTCATGCAACGGCCTTCCCTATAGTGGTGAGATCACATTAAAAAGCTACTTCAAGTGTCACTAAAGCATTATAACTGCTCTTAAGTGTATGTAGAATGAGATTACTTTAGAAAAACATTTCGAAAAATCATATGCTTTTCCCATATGTTCAGTATTTAATGTTGTTGGACAATGACTGCCTAAAACTTCATATGCAGCAAAAAAAAAAAAAAAAAAAAAAAAAAAAAATCTAACAACGAACATTTAAGTTTAGTTCCCATAAGTCTCAGAATTTCATGCCCTCGATTTTTTCCCTATCATACACATTTTTAAAAGACTAATCTAGTGGATAAGGATATGCTATCAAAACCTGAAACTCATGAATCGGAAATCATCTTGCACATTAACTTGTAATCTTATAACAATTTTTGTCTCTGCACACATAAAATGTAAATTCTGCACGCATAAAATGTAAAAAATCTCAAACAGTTTAGTGTTTTGTATATTTAAATCATTATGTTCTTTTTTTTTTTTTTTTTTTTTTTTTTGAGACGGAGTCTCGCTCTGTCGCCCAGGCTGGAGTGCAGTGGCGGGATCTCGGCTCACTGCAAGCTCCGCCTCCCGGGTTCACGCCATTCTCCTGCCTCAGCCTCCCAAGTAGCTGGGACTACAGGCGCCCGCCACTACGCCCGGCTAATTTTTTTGTATTTTTAGTAGAGACGGGGTTTCAGCGTTTTAGCCGGGATGGTCTCGATCTCCTGACCTCGTGATCTGCCTGCCTCGGCCTCCCAAAGTGCTGGGATTACAGGCGTGAGCCACAGCGCCCGGCCAATCATTATGTTCTATAACAAACAATAATTTAGGTATTGTCAGTAAGATGGAATTAGCAACATTTCTATTTCTCCCAAGTAAAAATATAGAATGATATAAAGAACTGGATGACTTGATGAAAGTACCTGTATTACAGCAAATTATAGCAAAAGACAGAAGCAGAAAGGAAAAACAAAAATTGATATACTGAATATAGAGGTGGGAAATGATTGCATACTATAATTCTTATTAGTGAAATAAAGCACTAAAGGATACAATATGTAATGGGAAAAAATAAAATTTCAACTAAAAAATATTCTAGTGTTTAACATATTAAATGACAACCAACTTGTAAGCTCTTGGACCCAACAGAGATAAATTAGTTTAAGAAAGGCAAATTTTGCTGGGTTCAGTGGCTCAGGCTTATAATCCCAGCACTTTGAGAGACCAAGTAGGAGAATCACTTGAGGCCAGGAGTTCAAGATGAGCCTGAGCAACGTAGCGAGAGCCTGTCACTACAAAAAAGTAAAAATAAAAAAATTAGCCAGGCATGGGTGCAAGCCTGTAGTCCCAGCTACTCAGGAGGCTGAGATGGGAGGATCACTTGAGTCCAGGAGTTCACGACTGCAGAGAGCCATGATAGCCACTGCATTCCAGCCCAGGTGTCAGAGTGAGACTCTGTCTCAATAAAATAAAATAATTAAATAAATATAAAAAAAGAAAAAGCCAAGTGTGGTGGCTCATGCCTATAATCCCATTACTTTGGGAGGCTGAGGTGGGCAGATCACTTAAGCCCAGGAGTTTAAGATCAGCTTCGGCAACATGGCAAAACCTCATCTTCTACCAAAATAAAAAATTAGCCAGGCATGGTAGTGCGTGCCTATAGTCCCAGCTACTCATGAGTCTGAGGTGGGAAGATGGCTTAAGCCCAGGACACAGAGGTTATAGGGAGCTGACATTGCACCACTGCACTCTAGCCTGGGCAATAGACCCAGACCCTGTCTCCAAGGGGAAAAAAAAAAAAAAGAAAGGCAAATTTCATGCAGCATTGTTTCATTTGTTCCCCTTGTAAACACATTTAAATGTATCACAGGATCTGTAACTATCAAAACTGCCCACAGCATCAAATTAAAAATACAGTTCTAATCCAGACACAGAGGATGAAAGGGATCATGGCTAACTAGTGAAACAGCACTGATAGTCAAATGAAGGGCTGGAACCTTGAAGTAAAAAGAAGAAAAGGATCATCGAGAGAAAAGTTAGGATGGGCTAGACTTCTGGTTATTTCAGAAATGGGTAGCAAAAGACAAAGGCTCTTAACCTCCCAGAATTAGGTGACAACCTCAGCCAATCTATCTCCCTAGTAAAGCCAGAACTAAGATGGGAAAAAAGACCATTTTTAAATGAACAAACCAAATTTATGCTTAGGGCTGTATTCGCTTAATGGAGGAACAGTTATTTCAAAATTAGTAAAACAAAAGCTTTATATGAAAAAACATAGTATAATTCTGAATGATTTTCATACAATCATTATCAAGCATAAGTGATACTGGATACCTGAAGCTGACATGAGGGAAAAAGGCTCAGGGAGATTTCACAACTTTGTACAGCAGTGGCTTGAAAGGATATAACTATATTTACCATAAAACAAGAAGTAGTCATTTTTACCTTATACAATTTATAAGAATTTTTAGAAAAATAGAAATAACTCACATGTAATTCAGGTATACCAAACTTTCCTGCCTTCCTACTAAATGGAACTAGAAAAGCAAAATGCTGATTTTTTCCAGGTACTCCAAAAATACCTTTATAATTTTAACTGTAATTTGTTTAGTCTAAAAAGGTACTGCTCCAATACCAGAAGCTACAGGTGAAAAACATATCTCTCAACTGAAGACAACTTCTTGAATAACTGTGTCACTGACAAGTTTACTCTCTGAGCTTCAGTTTCCAAACTGAGAAGGAGGAATAACTGCCCTGCCTGTCCCACACTTCTGGCTGCTGAAATAGTCTCAATCAATTTCTTTTTTCTTTATTTTTTTTTACAAACTACATGCAAATTTAATTTTTCCAATTCATAAAGTAAAAGGGGTCCAATAAAACACTATCATGTCCTACCTCACAGGTTACTGTAGGTATTGTTTTCAAAATGTGAACAATACCACAGACTGAAGGTGGAAAAAAAAACTAGTTGAAAGTATAATTAGTTTTTAAGGGCATGGCTAAGGCAAAATTAGAAATACATATATAAGACTGGGTGTGGTGGCTTACACATGTAATCCCAGCACTTTGGGAGGCTGAGGCATGAGGATCACTTGAGCCCAGGAGTTTGAGACCAGCCTAGGCAACATAGCAAGACCCCATGCTTACAGAAAATTAAAAAAAAAATTAGTCAGGCATGGTGACACATGCCTGTGGTCCCAGCTTCTTGGGAGGCTGAGATGGGAGGATCACTTGAGCCCAGGAGGCTGAGGCTGCAGTAAGCCATGTTTGTGCCACTGCACTCCAGCCTGAGTGACAGAGAACCCCATCTCAAAAAATAAATAAATAAAAAGAAAAGAAATATATATAGGAATGGGAATTAGAACTCTCAAATGTAGAGCCACCCACTAAGCCTACCCTTAAGCAAAATTGTCCCACCAATTCAAAATACCCAGAGACATGTCCATTTTCATGATCTTGTATGGACATATACAAGACTTATGAGATATTCATTGCAGCATTATTTGCAATAGCCAAGCTGTGAGAACAAGTTAAATGTCCACTAACAGAAAAAGGGATAAAGTAAATGTGGTATATGTAGAAAATGGAATATTATTCAGATTTAAAAAGGAAACCTTGCCATATGCAAAAACATGGATGAACCTTGATGACTTTATGCTACATGAAATAAACCAGTCACAGAAAGACAAATAATGCATGATTCCACTTGTGTCAGGTAATTAAAATAGTCAACCCCATAGAAAGAGTGTAGAATGGTGGATGCCAGGGGCTATGAAGACAGGGAAATGGGAAACTGCGATTCAAGGGGTATAAAGCTTCAGTTATGAAGAGTGAAACGTTCCAGAGATCTGCTGCACATCCTCATGCCTATAGTTAGCAATACTGTATTGTACACTTAAAAAATTGTTAAGAGGGTAGATCTCATGTTAGATGTTCTTACTACAATAAAAAAAGAAAAAGATACCGATGCACAAGAATAACTAATCTTTCTTCCCTCCCTTACCAAAAGGATTCCCCACAGGAGAAGGCAGAAAACTAATCCATTATTAAAGTGAAGAGAGGAGAGAGGAGCCAAGATGGCCGAATAGGAACAGCTCCGGTATACAGCTCCCAGCGTTAGAGACGCAGAAGACAGGCGATTTCTCCATTTCCATCTGAGGTACCGGGTTCATCTCACTAGGGAGTGCCAGACAGTGGGCGCAGGTCAGTGGGTGCGTGCTCCATCCGCGAGCCGAAGCAGGGCGAGGCATTGTCTCACTTGGGAAGCACGGGGGTCAGGGAGTTCCCTTTCCTAGTCAAAGAAAGGGGTGACAGACGGCACCTGGAAGATTGGGTCACTCCCACCAGAATGCTGCGCTTTTCCGACGGGCTTGAAAAACGGCGCACCAGGAGATTGTGTCCCACACCTGGCTCGGAGGGTCCCACGCCCACGGAGTCTCGCTGATTGCTAGCAAAGCAGCCTGAGATCAAACTGCAAGGTGGCAGCGAGGCTGGGGGAGGGGTGCCCGCCATTGCCCAGGCTTGCTTAGGTAAACAAAGCAGCCAGGAAGCTCCAACTGGGTGGAGCCCACCACAGCTCAAGGAAGCCTGCCTGCCTCTGTAGGCTCCACCTCTGGGGGCAGGGCACAGACACACAAAAAGACAGCAGTAACCTCCGCAGACTTAAGTGTCCCTGTCTGACAGTTTGAAGAGAGCAGTGGTTCTCCCAGCACACAGCTGGAGATCTGAGAACGGGCAGACTGCCTCCTCAAGTGGGTCCCTGACCCCTGACCCCCTGGGAGGTCACCCCCTGGGAGGTAACTGGGAGGCACCCCCTAGCAGAGGCAGGCTGACACCTCACACGGCCGGGTAACCCAACAGACCTGCAGCTGAAGGTCCTGTCTGTTAGAAGGAAAACTAACAAACAGAAAGGACATCCACACCAAAAACCCATCTGTACATCACCATCATCAAAGACCAAAAGTAGATAAAAACTGCAAAGATGGGGAAAAAACAGAGCAGAAAACCTGGAAACTCTAAAAAGCAGAGCGCCTCTCCTCCTCCAAAGGAACGCAGTGCCTCTCCTCCTCCAAAGAAACGCAGCTCCTCACCAACAACAGAACAAAGCTGGACGGAGAATGACTTTGACGAGCTGAGAAAATAAGGCTTCAGACGATCAAATTACTCCAAGCTACGGGAGGACATTCAAACCAAAGGCAAAGAAGTTGAAAACTTTGAAAAAAATTTTGAAGAATGTATTACTAGAATAACCAATACAGAGAAGTGCTTAAAGGAGCTGATGGAGCTGAAAACCAAGGCTCGAGAACTACGTGAAGAATGCAGAAGCCTCAGGAGCCGATGCGATCAACTGGAAGAAAGGGTATCAGCGATGGAAGATGAAATGAATGAAATGAAGCAAGAAGGGAAGTTTAGAGAAAAAAGAATAAAAAGAAACAAACAAAGCCTCCAAGAAATACGGGACTATGTGAAAAGACCAAATCTACGTCTGATTGGTGTACCTGAAACTGACGGGGAGAATGGAACCAAGTTGGAAAACACTCTGCAGGATATCATCCAGGAGAACTTCCCCAATCTAGCAAGGCAGGCCAACATTCAGATTCAGGAAATACAGAGAATGCCACAAAGATACTCCTCGAGAAGAGCAACTCTAAGACACATAATTGTCAGATTCACCAAAGTTGAAATGAAGGGAAAAATGTTAAGCGCAGCCAGAGAGAAAGGTCGGGTTACCCTCAAAGGGAAGCCCATCAGACTAACAGCAGATCTCTTGGCAGAAACTCTACAAGCCAGAAGAGAGTGGGGGCCAATATTCAACATTCTTAAAGAAAAGAATTTTCGACCCAGAATTTCATATCCAGCCAAACTAAGCTTCAAAAGTGAAGGAGAAATAAAATACTTTACAGACAAGCAAATGCTGAGAGATTTTGTCACCACCAGGCTTGCCCTAAAAGAGCTCCTGAAGGAAGCGCTAAACATGGAAAGGAACAACCGGTACCAGCTGCTGCAAAATCATGCCAAAATGTAAAGACCATCGAGACTAGGAAGAAACTGCATCAACTAACGAGCAAAATAACCAGCTAACATCATAATGACAGGATCAAATTCACACATAACGATATTAACTTTAAATGTAAATGGACTAAATGCTCCAATTAAAAGACACAGACTGGCAAATTGGATAAAGAGTCAAGACCCATCAGTGTGCTGTATTCAGGAAACCCATCCACGTGCAGAGACACACATAGGCTCAAAATAAAGGGATGGAGGAAAATCTACCAAGCAAATGGAAAACAAAAAAAGGCAGGGGTTGCAATCCTAGTCTCTGATAAAACAGACTTTCAACCAACAAAGATCAAAAGAGACAAAGAAGGCCATTACATAATGGTAAAGGGATCAATTCAACAAGAAGAGCTAACTATCCTAAATATATATGCACCCAATACAGGAACACCCAGATTCATAAAGCAAGTCCTGAGTGACCTACAAAGAGACTTAGACTCCCACACAATAATAATGGGAGACTTTAACACCCCACTGTCAACATTAGACAGATCAAGGAGACAGCAAGTCAACAAGGATACCCAGGAATTGAACTCAGCTCTGCACCAAGCAGACCTAATAGACATCTACAGAACTCTCCACCCCAAATCAACAGAATATACATTTTTTTCAGCACCACACCACACCTATTCCAAAATTGACCACATACTTGGAAGTAAAGCTCTCCTCAGCAAATGTAAAAGAACAGAAATTATAACAAACTATCTCTCAGACCACAGTACAATCAAACTAGAACTCAGGATTAAGAATCTCACTCAAAACCACTCAACTACATGGAAACTGAACAACCTGCTCCTGAATGACTACTGGGTACATAACGAAATGAAGGCAGAAATAAAGACGTTCTTTGAAACCAACGAGAACAAAGACACAACATACCAGAATCTCTGGGACACATTCAAAGCAGTGTGTAGAGGGAAATTTATAGCACTAAATGCCCACAAGAGAAAGCAGGAAAGATCCAAAATTGACACCCTAACATCACAATTAAAAGAACTAGAAAAGCAAGAGCAAACACATTCAAAAGCTAGCAGAAGGCAAGAAATAACTAAAATCAGAGCAGAACTGAAGGAAATAGAGACACAAAAAACCCTTCAAAAAATTAATGAATCCAGGAGCTGGTTTTTTGAAAGGATCAACAAAATTGATAGACTGCTAGCAAGACTAATAAAGAAAAAAAGAGAGAAGAATCAAATAGACGCAATAAAAAATGATAAAGGGGATATCACCACCGATCCCACAGAAATACAAACTACCATCAGAGAATACTAAAAACACCTCTATGCAAATAAACTAGAAAATCTAGAAGAAATGGATAAATTCCTTGACACATACACCCTCCAAAGACTAAACCAGGAAGAAGTTGAATCTCTGAATAGACCAATAACAGGATCTGAAATTGTGGCAATAATCAATAGCTTACCAACCAAAAAGAGTCCAGGACCAGATAGATTCACAGCCGAATTCTACCAGAGGTACAAGGAGGAACTGGTACCATTCCTTCTGAAACTATTCCAATCAATAGAAAAAGAGGGAGTCCTCCCTAACTCATTTGATGAGGCCAGCATCATCCTGATACCAAAGCCGGGCAGAGACACAACCAAAAAAGAGAATTTTAGACCAATATCCTTGATGAACATTGATGCAAAAATCCTCAATAAAATACTGGCAAACCGAATCCAGCAGCACATCAAAAAGCTTATCCACCATGATCAAGTGGGCTTCATCCCTGGGACGCAAGGCTGGTTCAATATATGCAAATCAATACATGTAATCCAGCATATAAACAGAACCAAAGACAAAAACCACATGATTATCTCAATAGATGCAGAAAAGGCCTTTGACAAAATTCAACAACCCGTCATGCTAAAAACTCTCAATAAATTAGGTATTGATGGGACGTATTTCAAAATAATAAGAGCTATCTATGACAAACCCACAGCCAATATCATACTAAATGGGCAAAAACTGGAAGCATTCCCTTTGAAAACTGGCACAAGACAGGGATGCCCTCTCTCACCACTCCTATTCAACATAGTGTTGGAAGTTCTGGCCAGGGCAATTAGGCAGGAGAAGGAAATAAAGGGTATTCAATTAGGAAAAGAGGAAGTCAAATTGTCCCTGTTTGCAGATGACATGATTGTATATCTAGAAAACCCCATCATCTCATCCCAAAATCTCCTTAAGCTGATAAGCAACTTCAGCAAAGTCTCAGGATACAAAATCAATGTACAAAAATCACAAGCATTCTTATACACCAACAACAGACAAACAGAGAGCCAAATCATGAGTGAACTCCCATTCACAATTGCTTCAAAGAGAATAAAATACCTAGGAATCCAACTTACAAGGGATGTGAAGGACCTCTTCAAGGAGAACTACAAACCACTTCTCAAGGAAATAAAAGAGGATACAAACAAATGGAAGAACATTCCATGCTCATGGGTAGGAAGAATCAATATCGTGAAAATGGCCATACTACCCAAGGTAATTTACAGATTCAATGCCATCCCCATCAAGCTACCAATGACTTTCTTCACGCAATTGGAAAAAACTACTTTAAAGTTCATATGGAACCAAAAAAGAGCCCGCATCGCCAAGTCAATCCTAAGCCAAAAGAACAAAGCTGGAGGCATCACGCTACCTGACTTCAAACTATGCTACAAGGCTACAGTCACCAAAACAGCATGGTACTGGTACCAAAACAGAGATAGAGACCAATGGAACAGAACAGAGCCCTCAGAAATAACGCCGCATATCTACAACTATCTGATCTTTGACAAACCTGAGAAAAACAAGCAGTGGGGAAAGGATTCTGTATTTAATAAATGGTTCTGGGAAAACTGGCTAGCCATATGTAGAAAGCTGAAACCGGATCCCTTCCTTACACCTTATACAAAAATCAATTCAAGATGGATTAAAGACTTAAACGTTCGACCTAAAACCATAAAAACCCTAGAAGAAAACCTAGGCATTACCATTCAGGACATAGGCATGGGCAAGGACTTCATGTCTAAAACACCAAAAGCAATGGCAACAAAAGCCAAAATTGACAGATGGGATCTAATTAAACTAAACAGCTTCTGCACAGCAAAAGAAACTACCATCAGAGTGAACAGGCAACCTACAAAATGGGAGAAAATTTTCGCAACCTACTCATCTGACAAAGGGCTAATATCCAGAATCTACAATGAACTCAAACAAATTTACAAGAAAAAACCAAACAACCCCATCAAAAAGTGGGCGAAGGACATGAACAGACATTTCTCAAAAGAAGACATTTATGCAGCCAAAAAACACATGAAAAAATGCTCACCATCACTGGCCATCAGAGAAATGCACATCAAAACCACAATGAGATACTATCTCACACCAGTTAGAATGGCAATCATTAAAAAGTCAGGAAACAACAGGTGCTGGAGAGGATGTGGAGAAATAGGAACACTTTTACACTGTTGGCGGGACTGTAAACTAGTTCAACCATTGTGGAAGTCAGTGTGGCGATTCCTCAGGGATCTAGAACTAGAAATACCATTTGACCCAGCCATCCCATTACTGGGTATATAACCTAAAGGACTATAAATCATGCTGCTATAAAGACACATGCACACGTATGTTTATTGCGGCATTATTCACAATAGCAAAGACTTGGAACCAACCCAAATGTCCAACAATGATAGACTGGATTAAGAAAATGTGGCACATATACACCATGGAATACTATGCAGCCATAAAAAATGATGAGTTCATGTCCTTTGTAGTGACATGGATGAAATTGGAAATCATCATTCTCAGTAAACTATCGCAAGAACAAAAAACCAAACACCGCATATTCTCACTCATAGGTGGGAATTAAACAATGAGAACACATGGACACAGGAAGGGGAACATCACACTCTGGGGACTGTGGTGGGTTTGGGGGAGGGGGGAGGGATAGCATTGGGAGATATAACTAATGCTAGATGACGAGTTAGTGGGTGCAGCCCACCAGCATGGCACATGTATACATATGTAACTAACCTGCACATTGTGCACATGTACCCTAAACCTTAAAGTATAATAATAATAAATAAATAAATTAAAAAAAAAACTCAAGAAAAAATAAAAAATAAAAAAATAAAGTGAAGAGAGTTATTTGTGTGATAACGCTAAGCTAAAATTTTCCATGTATTTCATGCATTTTCTCATAGAAAGAGTATTAGACATAGTGTTTGGTGTAGAAGTGTTAACGATTAGCCTCTAAAGTTAACTATCATTTACACTATAATTTCTACAGGAAAATGCAATATGTTTTCCAAACAACCAATTAGTAAAACTTCCAAGAATATACCTCATTGAGAATGGTCTTGTATGCCAAAGGAATGGCAGGAAGCTTAAATCATGAATGCAATTGTGCAAATCATTCCTGTTAACTATGGGGAAAAAAGGTACATAACAATAAAATAACCAAATTATACAAAACATACCTTATTCCAGAGAGACTATCAAAGGCATGAAGATCTAATACATTAGAGAGATCAACTCTAAAAGGAAGAAAACTAACGTGAGCAGTTGGAAATTCTGTGAAATACATCCAATTAATCAAGAAAAAAAAACTCTGACTCTTAAAAATTTTATACATAAAATTCATAGAAGTGGGCAAATGGTGTAAGATTTGAATCACAGTTGAATCAAGATTGAAAATTATTTGGTTATTACTTCAATGAATTAGGTTTTTTTTAAACTTTCAATTATCTTTTCAATCCTGAAATTTATGAGCTTTTCAAATACATTTTTATAGCTAAAAAATCAGCTAAAGAACAGAAACTTTTCCAAGCAGCTTATTACTCAAAAGATGAAACAAAAGAAATGACAAATAGAATTAACAAATAGGTACATTCCAGATACCTCTGCAATTTTTGTATTTTTTATACCCCCTCCCTTGATATAACATGTAATATAAAAATGAGGAGTCAAATAACCAATGTACAAAATATTAGGTTACTCTAGGACCCTGATCTTCACGTGATTTGATTTCATTCATTCAGAATGGGGCTGCATGTAGAAAGAAAATTCCCACCATCCGAATAGACATTATTTCTCTTAGAATTATTTAATGATAATTAAACTCATTTAATTGAATCCAATGATTCAAATCAGGTGAGAATAAATAACATATCACAATTAGCATTAGGTTTGGTTTAAATATAAAAAAGCAAATTTATAAAGACTGGTGATTGAGTTATAATTTTAACATAAGCCCAGAAAACCACAGAGGACAGGCCGGGCACGGTGGCTCATGCCTGCAATCCCAGCACTTTGGGAGGCCGAGGCGGGCGGATCACAAGGTCAAGATCAAGACCATCCTGGCCATGGACAATGTGGTGAAACCCTGTCTCTATCAAAAATACAAAAATTAGCTGGGTGTGGTGGCATGCACCTGTAGTCCCAGCTACTCGGGAGGCTGCGGCAGGAGAATCATTTGAACCCAGGAAGTGGAGGTTGCAGTGAGCCGAGATTGCACCACTGCACTCCAGCCTGGCACAGAGTGAGACTCCGCCTCAAAAGAAAAAAAAAAAAAAGAACAGCAGAGGACAGTGATTTCTCATAATCAAAGCTAAGGTGAAGAAATATTTAAAGAAAATGACAAATGTATAATTTCAAATTTAGATTCCAGAAGCTTGCCAAACATTTGTTAAATTTTATTACAAGGAAAAAAAACATCATTGGTCAGATTCAAGATTTTTTTTTTCTTTAATGCACAAACATATAAGAAAAAACATCTCCTTTATCTTAGGACTGACCAACTGTGCCTGCTTTCTTTATTATCAACAGTCTATCACATACTCGTACTCGTGGCAACAATACTGTGTTAGATTACGAATACTTGTCTTGGCAAAAGAGAGACAAATTCCCATCTTATTACTCCAAAGTTCTATGTTAGTAGACTATAACAGCAACTCAAATTCTGGGCATTTTAGATGTACAGAATTAGAAAAATGATCAAGCAAAGAAGCAAATGTTCTATGAAGAAATTTTTGAATATCAGTTTACACTAAAAGGCCAAAGTCTTAATATTAAACATATTTCCTTTTTCACCCCCCACCCCTCCCCCCACTACTGAGCATATTTATATTGACAGGTCACAAACAAGGGGCACGGGGGCTCCACTTTGGGAGGCCAAGGTGGGCGGATCACTTTGAGGCCAGGAGTTTGACACCAACCTGGCCAATGTGGCGAAACCGTCTCTACTAAAAATACAAAAATTAGCTGGGTGTGGTGGTGCACACCTGTAATCCCAGCTACTCGGAGGGTGAAGCAGGAGAATCGCTTGAACCCAGGAGGCAGAGGTTTCAGTGAGCCGAGATCGCACCACCGCACTCCAACTTGGGGGACACAGTGAGATTCTGTCTCAAACCAGAGTGAGATTCTGTCTCAAAAAGATAAAAATAAATAAAAATAAAAATAAAAATAAACCAAATGAATGAAGTTTCCCTCCAAGTTTGTCATCTTCATCTTAGGAAATAGCTTAAAGTTTACACATGCCAATTTTGTGAATATCAAATTCAACAGTTTGGAAACACAAGCTTCTAAATAAACTGTTTCCCTATGACAGTGTCCTTGAGAATACATGCCATCCAGAGGTAATTCTGCTTTATACTCAGATTCTTTCCATACTTCCAAAAAAGGATCAATATTAGACCTGTACAACAAATTACACTCTTTTACAGAAAATAATAAAATATCCAAGTCTCTCACCAAATTTTCAAAAAAGAGGAAAAGTGTAAGCTTCCAGATGAAAGTTTCTATAGCTTTCCCCAATTTTAGTACCACCATGAAAAAGAAATTCTTCACTCATTCAAGGCATACGACTAGAAAACTAATTTCCATGGCATCAAATTAATTTCCTCCTTTGGAGATAAAAGCATGAGATCTTTTCCAAAGCATTAAAATCGCCAAGAAAAAAAAAAAAAGAAAAAAAAGACCATTACCAGCATTTTAAAACTAAGAGAATGAAGTAAACAAAAAAGGGAAAGAAAAAGCTTCAAAAGTTCATTTTTCTCCTAATTTCTTGAACTCTCTATTCCAGAAGTACCTAATGTTTTTCTTAAAAGAGAGGCTTTCAATTTTTCCCTATGTCTAAAGGCTGCTTTAAGTAGCTTAAGACCAAGGACAGGAGAGTGAAAACGAAGAGGGTTTTGGCTCTCCAAGGTGGGGGTGGAATTGCAGCTACTGCTTAGGGATATTTTCCAGTGGTCATCTCTTCAAACTCCAGTGAGTCTCACAAACAGGGTGCACCAGCCAATCCAAGTATCCAGTATCTACAATGCAAACTGTAGATACTATCCAAATTGACAGTAGATAGCTCAGTAAATAGCTGAGCAAACTGCAATGATAGCTCAGTCTTGAACTCTGGAAATAAATTTCCAAAAGCCTTCCCCAGTGGCAATTCAAACTCAAAAACGTTTACAAAACTATTCATATTTTCCAAACCTGCTTCCACCACTACCCGACCTGTTGCTCCTCCTTCCTGTATTTCCTATACCTCGGAGATTAGCCTCACATTGAATCTACCTCCCAAGAGTCATGTTGCCTTTAAAATCCTTCACTAACTCCTTGCTCCCTACAGAAGAAAATCCAAACTATGTATCATGGCATTCAAGACCCTTTGTGGTAAGTTCTCTATCTCTTCAGTCATACCACTTTTTCTGTGCTACATAATACCAAGTTTTCTAGCCATTCTAAAATATTCAAAGGTCCCTGGAATACAAAATCTTCCTTATACCTGGAAAGTTATCCCTACCCTACTCCATCTGTAAAAACCTTATTCATTCTTTAAGACTCAGGTCAATGACTGCCTTCTCGGTCAATATTTTCCTGACTCTTTTTCAAGAAAAGTTGAGCAATCATTCCCTCTATTTTCCTATTATTATAGAACTCTGTGCTTTTAAAATTCTTGTATTAATATTAATATCTATTATGTTGCCTTTTTGTTTGTTTGCTTCTGTTTCCCCCCAATGACTGATCTCCTTAAAGGCAGAGTTTTCGCCTTATCCATTGCTTATATAGTCCTTAAATTGCTATGAAATGCATAGCAGGCAGTTTGTCAAATTAATTTAACTTATTATTGACCAGCTGTGTTTTGGTTTTCCTCTGTTCAGTCCACTTACATTTCTAAAAATTAAGAAAAAGTCTAGAGAAGATTAAAATGACACATCTTCTAACCTTTTACTCCTACTTCTGAAATCTATGTGGTTCACTAGTACTTCCATTTGCTACTAAATCAACTTAAGTCTTACCACTAAGACGATGCTACACACTATTCCTTTTCCTTACTCTTAACTACTCAAGGTGAGCCTTTTTCTACACATGCTTATAGCAGTTTATTGTCAGTACTTGTCAGCTACAAAATGGTAAAAAATTTTAAAAAACAAAAAATAAAACAAAACTTCTATAAGAGAGACTTTGACTATTTTGTTAACCAAATCTCCGTTTTTTTTTTTTTTTTTTTTTGAGACAGAGTCTCGCTCTGTCACCCAGGCTGGAGTGCAGTGGTGCGATCTCAGCTCACTGCAAGCTCCGCCTCCCGGGTTCACGCCATTCTCCTGCCTCAGCCTCCTGAGTAGCTGGGACTACAGGCGCCCACCACCAGGCTCAGCTAATTTTTTGTATTTTTAGTAGAGATGGGGTTTCACAGTGTTAGCCAGGATGGTCTCCATCTCCTGACCTCGTGATCCGCCCACCTTGGCCTCCCAAAGTGCTGGGATTACAGGCGTGAGCCACCGCGCCCAGCCCAAATCTCCAGTTTCTAAACTGGTAAGCTCAAGTTGCTATGCCTCAAGGAATTTGAGAGAATATTTAATGTAAGATTCAGGACCCAATAGTAAGAATTCTACTCAGGACATCTGATCTTCATTGAAATGGATTCTAATCCAACTTCAGTCCTCATAGCAAGGAAGTACTATTTCAGAAAGTCCCTAGATTCTCAGATGCATTGGCAAGAACCATACACTGAAGAATTCACAGAAGATTTTAGTCACTTGCTCACTCATCCACTTGAAGTAAGAAAAATCAATCACTGCATGTTTATTGTTCTATAATAAAGCAAATGTTAGAAATAAAAGTTAGAAATGTCAAACACACTAAATTGTTACATAATAAACTAATCAAGACACAACTTTTATTCAGGACATGGATATTTCTGAAATGAAAACAAAAGAAGAGAATTGACTTAAAATGTTTATAAATACAAATATTATGACAGAACCAAAGCTATTTATGAGCATTATTTTTAAAAGCTTGTTTAAGTATTATGCACTTGTCTGTGTGACATTTTGTAAAGCGGAGAAAAATTAAGGAGAAAGGAATTGTAGAACACTAACAGGAAGAGGACAGATACTGAGGAATGGCTCATGGTATAAGTGAGATTATCAGAGACTTTCTACAATGGAATTTGAAATGCAGGGAGCACATTTGGTGTATGGTTGTAGAGGACTTACACTAAGGGCATTCTTCGGCTACCTCTGCCAGCAGATGAGTGGCTCCTGAGAATGCATACCAAATTAATTCCCCAGCTGTTCACATGCATATAAGCAGCTGCTGCTGTTACTGCCTAACACTTATGGCAGTCTGGCAGCACCTCTAATCTCTGCCATAGCAGACAAGCCACTCACCTAAGGCCTCTGCTGTACCTCCAAAGAAAGAATTTCTCAAGTAGAGACTGAGTGGAACTAGACTGCCAGCTGTGAGCCTCAGAGCTCCTGGCTGCCTGTTGCTGAGTCTATCAGCTGCTGAGCCTTTCTCCCCAAAAAAAAAAAAAAAAAAAAAAAAAAATGAGCTTAATAAAATAACCCTGCACAGAAATTTTCTGAAATTAAGATAACATTCAATGGAAAACAGAATTTAATCTACAGAAATACACTTCACAGATGTTTTAGGAACAGAACCTAGAGAAAATGAAAGTCAAAATTTAATAAAAGAATTTGTCAGGAACTTCAAGGTAAAGACTCCATGTATTTTTTGGCAACTATAAAACACTAAGAAGGCTTTTTAAATATTAAAAAGCCATTTAAACACTTCAAATTAAGATTCCTCAATATACTTCAGATTTCTGTACTGAGTTACCCTCTCGAGTGTTTGGAAGTCTTTTCTTCCTCATTAAGCAAACACTTACACAGTGTTACCATGGCTTTGTAATCTTAGTTTTGAAGACAGGCAAATGTACTAGTCAAATATGCCAAACTAACTTATTAAGAGCATTCCAAACAACATTTTGGATCCAATTCTTTTTAAATGCACTTAGATCTTTCTTATATCAGAATCAAGCATATTTGTCAATTACTTAATGTTTATTATTAATAACTAAAATGATTTGTTATTAATAGGAATAGCTTTTTTAAAGTACCTTGATCTTTGTGTTTCTAAGATTTGTCCTAGTCCATTTATGGATCTGAAATAAATAATAAATGAGGAAGACAAAGTTTAAAAGTAAAAATTAACTTTTTAAAAAAGTATACAAAGTATATTGTTTCTAAAACAGGAAATAAGCATACCCAAATACATCTGGAACCAGAAAAAAATTAAAAACAGAAAAACAAAACTTGCTTTAAAAAATAATTATGATTTTCCTTCAAACAATAAATCACATATATTCCACTCATACATCAATAAAACATATATGCAAAAATTCGCACAACTGTCAGATTAAGGGCTACTTTGTGGTTAATAAAAAGACGCTTCACTTTAGAAAAAATCATTCATAAATAGTCAGTTATCCTAGTGATCTTAAAAATGAGTAGATACTCAAAATTTTTACGGTGGTCACTTTTTTCCTCAGGCATACATGGTAGAAATGGCTATATACACACTAAAAATAAAAACCTAGTTGTAAGTTGCTTTGCCCCCAGCCTGTCCTTAGTATTCACAGTAATTCTAAGTCACACATCCCAGGTTCCTTTATAGAATAACCTCCTCAGTTCCCTAATTAGGCTCTCTACCTGTTATGCCTATTCTCCCTCTTTTGATACTATAGAATATGGCTTGGTATTGCACCAAAAAGTACCTGTTAAATTCTTTTCAGCACACTGTACACCTCATCTATTTATCTTTTCCATTGCCTATCATCAATCATCAATTCTCTATCATGAATTCAATTGTCTTTAGGGTTACTTACCCAAGATTCTTGCTACTTGTTCAAGGTTGTTCTCATGCGTAAGGCTTCCCACATATAATGATTCTGAGGCAAGTCTCTCCACTATTTTACAAAATTCTTAAATCTTCTTTTTTGAATACACTCTAGTCTGATGGCTAATTCCTCTCAAACATGTTTACCTTTTTTCACCTCCCCAAATATCATTCTGAGTCAGTCACAAGTCTGATATAAAGGGAGGGTAAAAGCCAAAAGGGTGTGTAATTTATCAAACTGCTTCTTCCAAATTCATTTCTAGTACTGTTAACAAGCTGGCTAATAGTCAATATTGTCAGTGTCAGAGATTTAGCTTAGGTCTCTATAAGGATATAAAAGTCAAGTAATAATTATCATTCCTTTTATGCCAAAAACGTTTGCTAAATAGATTGTGTTCTTCTTAGCAATCACAATGGTGCACAAGATTTATGAAGGAAACAAGATTAGAAGACCAGTGTCAAAAAATGTAAAAGCAATCTTCATTCATCACTTTCTCCTTTTCAAAATCAGCCATCTTTTTCTTTCTTCCCTTTTTTACTATACCTTGAACTTACTATGTAAGCTAAGAAAAAAATTACATAATAATAGCTAACAGAGCACTTAATATGTGTCAGCACTGTGCAAAGTTTACCAACATTGTCTCATGTAATACTCAAAGCAAACTTATGATAGGCATTATGCCTTTTACAGAGGAGGCTTTAAAAGGGTAAATAAGCTCCCTAAGAAGACAATGAGAAACAGACCAAGGATTAGAACCCAAGCAGATTCCAAGGTCTGTGATCTTCAACACTACGCAACAATACCTACCCTCCACATGGAGACATTATATTTTTTTATAGTAAAGTTTAAGGACATTACTATTAAAATAAGATGAAATATGTGGAAAAAATGTGAATTTCTTTCTTCCACAATCATTAATCATGGCAAATAATCTCCTAATGAGCCTTACCTTTATTGATTCAATTTATAATATATACTATAAGAACTGAGATGACAGATTCAAAATCTAATGTCAGTAGAACTTATAAATACTAAGAATAGTAATTTTGAGCCATCACACTCAAAGCATTGTACACATTAAAGATAACCAATAATAATAGCTACCGAATGTCTCTCTGTATAGGGCTTTTATTAGTTCAGGTCTTACAAAATAATTCAAAACAAAGTCCCTGAACTATAACTTCATTTGAAAAGTCCATCTTTGTTTTCAAAAGGAATGGGAGTCTCCAGAACAGTCAGCAAAATGACTGTTAGCACATATTTGAGCATCATTCATATCGTCCTGATTGTCCTATGCTGATCAGCCTTGGCTATGGACAAAGAAGATATTAAAGCAAGCTGGAAGACAAGGCATGGTTGACAGTTAAGGAAGATGAAGTCAACAAGAGTTCAGGGAAAACTGAGACCACTTGAGTCAGGGAAGACTTCACATAGGAAGGGGGGAGAGACAGAATAGGCTCTATAGAATAAATTAAAAAAAAACAGAACAAGAAAGAACTGAGGGATTGGCAGAGTGAGAATACATTATGAGTAAAGACAGGAACTGAGAGGATGCATCCATGGGAAAGTGAATTAACCATCCTGGGTAAAGTTAGGGAAGACTGACATTAGGAAAGAGTCAAAGAGAAGACAGGAAAAGAAAGATGGAGTGCGAAGACCCTGAATATCAGTCTATTAACTGTGAACTATATTCTGCAAGCACTGAGGACTAATTTTATGTATTACCATTTATATAACAATTAGCCATCAACAATATATGTGATTCTCTAATGTTCTTGAAGCAGTTCAACCTTATACCTTAAGTTTCTACAGGGCAACAATCAGAGTAAAAAATATTCTGTGTATACAATATGGATCTGTAGGCACTTAACACACTTATCATTTTGTACCTAATTGTTGTTCTTAATTTCTTTACATCTTCTTCTGGAACCAAGTCTGTTTTATTAATGAGAACGATATCTGCCAAAGCAACTTGCCTAAAATAGCAAACAAAAAGAAATGTTAAGAAATTTTAAATAATATACATGCATGCAGATTAATACATCAAAAGAGAAATGTTAACAAATTAAAAATAAATAAAAACACCTCATGTAAATCAATATATCAGTTAAGAATTATATAGTGCTCTATAGGAGTGATTCAGTTTACTCCTAATCCGCTAATTTTTCAATGTGAATGAATTGTATTCATTACTATGCAAGTTCAGATTTCACATTACCCATTTGCAAAGTATTTACTAAGTTCTGTTACTTGCTACTCTTGTGCTACAAAGATAAGTCTCAAAAAGTTTACAATCAAAAGGATGATTTTAAACTCATAATTTTCTTTGTGAAGAAAAGCATAAAATTCAGATATCCAATATGGTAAAAAGAAGAGTTTACCTACTAAAATACTGTAATATTTACCAAAATTTTCAAAGAAATAGAATAACTTCACTTAATACTAAAAACTGTATTAAACAGGGTTTTTTTAAAACTATACTTCAGAGCTGGGCATGGTAGAGCACACCTGTAGTCCTGGCTACTTAGGAGGCTGAGGAGGGAGGATCCCTTAGGCCCAGGAGTTCAAGTCCAACTTGGGCAACATAGCAAGACTCCATTTCTTAAAAAAAATAAGCTATACTTCAGAAGATATATCAGGATATTGCACAAATGTCTTCTTTATCACTATAAATATACTGTATATTATCTCTGTAAAGAATCCAGTTGACTGAATGCTAGATAACAAAGTAGATGATAATAATCAGAAGCTCTATTTTCTATTAACAGGATAGTAAAACTGGAAATTCTTTCAATTTTCCTCAATTATTCAGGGTCTTATGCTTTATCTCAAAGAATACAACTAAATTCTCAAAACTAAATTAACTTTAGTTCACTGAAAGAGCAGGTTTCAACAGTATGTACATCACAAATCCAATTTGGCTATTTTCTATTTGGCTTATTTATATTTTCTATAATAACCATATTTTCATAAGGAAAAAAGTTACAAAAATACTTAAGTTCAGCCAGACGCAGTGGATTCATGCCTGTAATCCCAGCACTTTGGGAGGCCGAGGCGGGTGGATCACCTGAGGTCAGGAGCTCGAGACCAGCCTGGCCAACATGGTGAAACCCCATCTCTACTAAAAAAAAATAAAATTAAATTAAAAAAATTAAAAAAAAATGCAAAAATTAGCTGGGCATGGTGGCAGGTGCCTGTAATCCCAGCTACTTGGGAGGCTGAGGCAGGAGAATCGCTTGAACCTGGGAGGCGGAGGTTGCAGTGAGCCTGCACTTCAGCCTGGGTGACAGAGTGAGATTCTGTCTCAAAAAATAATAATAATTATTATTATTATACATATATATATATATAAAATCTTCAATCCCAAAGAAATTGTATAACAAGAAAATATTTTTAAATGTTAATATTTCCCGAGTTCCTCAAAATTACAGAACTCCTGTGTTCAGCATTCACTTTATGCTATGACAAAAATGACTTTAAGTAAAAGTTTAGTTATGAGAACATTATAAATAGATAGCAATAATTCAACTAAGGGAAAAAAAGAAAATAAATTTTCCTTGACTATGTTTTAAAATTTCTTAGTTTGTTTTTGGTTTTCATCTTAGTGATTTTTCTCTTTACAATTAGCCAGCAATCAATATATACTTTAAATATGAATACCTAGTAGCTTCATTGATAAGGCCATCAGGTTTCTCTTCTGTTAAATGCTAAACAAAAAAAAGTTTGAATAAAGTTACTATAATACAATAAAAAATCTAATGTCAACACAAAGGATTTTACTTTAGAGACATTTTCTTGCATCTAATGAAAACTTCAACATGTTCTGTTACTGAATACACAAATCCAAAACTAACTTTTCTAGCTGAAAGCATTTTTCTTCCCCATTTGCAATTTTTTTCTACAAGTGAACCTGTGGGGTTTTATAGGGGGAGGAAGAGGGCTTAGGACTTCATACTCCTGACCTTTTCTTTTACTTAAAAGGAAAACCCCTTTGATTCACATAATGTCATAAAAACATAGAAGATTACAGTTCAGATTTTAGGTATTTTCCTTCTTACAAAACTGTTCTGGTTCTAAATATTCATTATTACTTATTTTAAAAAAAAGATAACCACTGAAATATAGTTTCTTAGAATCTAATATACTTCCCTTCACACCAAACCCTCATATTAGAATCTAAAATACTTCCCTATACCCCAGCCCACAATCATGCACCACGTGAACTCAGTACTAGGCCTTTCAAACACCCTAGAAACAAATAAGTGGTGGGAAGGCTGATTCAGCCCTGATTCTAGCCTAAAAGCAGTTTATCATTTAGAAACCCATACTTGCTAATCTGGCCTCTCAGTGCAACTATTTATTTTACTGACCTCTCCAGAGTCAGGCTAACTCCAAAAAATATTTTGACACTGACTTAGAGCCCAAGTGGTAGTTTCCATCTCTCTGGAGGCAAGTTTTGTTGTCTGTTTTTTTTTCCCCCCCTCATAATCCTGTTTACATCCCTAACGTCATCAACATCACAAGCTTCTTCTCTGGGAAATTACACTTTTACCCTCATTACCTCAAACCTCAATAGAGGTTCCCTGTCACAATAAAAAGCTGGCTACTGAGGTTTAGAGGCAACTAGATTATAGTAATACTCTATATTTGAAGCCAACTTTACAAATGAATTAAATCCTTGAATCTAACTTTATAAATTATATACATTTTTCTCATTTAGCTTTCATAATAATTATGGGAGATGGCTATTTTCATTTATAAAGGAAGAAACTAAATCTAACACCCTCATCATCACAGGATACTATATTTTATATACAATCACAGGGACTTTTTTTTTTAATTGAACACACACCCATCAAGTAAAATGAACATAATTTTAAAGTCTTTGTGAAATCTTTTATGCCACATAAAATCAGTCTGTGTACAATGCTACACAAATGTCAATAACCATATATCAGAGCCAAACCAGTTTCATAATTCATGGGGAGATGATCATTAGGGGTATCTGAAAAGTTTGGAACCTCAGAGCAAGCAGGTAATAATTTTATTTAACAAGCTTGATTAGGTCTATAGAAGAAACATTTTTTCCTTCTAAAAGTTCAGCAAATTCTATTTTGAGGAAAACAAAACTGAAATAAAATCATGGCAACGATACTTCTACTTCAGGCAAAATCTTGTTCAATTCAACTGCAGACCCACTCTGCAATTATGGAAGTCACAGAACTTGACAAGTATTGTATCAAAAATCATTCCATGCCAAAAGATCAAGTTTAATATTTTTTTCATAATTCATCTTGGCCTGAGGCTACAACAAGTCCTATTGTTATATACTCTGCCTCTAGAGAATGAGGCTGCTAACAGACCTTGGAATGGTGCCTGGCACAAAGGCTCAAGAAATATTTGTTGAATGAATTGTAATTAACACCTCCTGTTGTGGGGATACATAAAAGATGTTACATGAAAAATGCCATCTAACATGCAGCAACAAATCTCTTCCCATTAAGCAGTAAATCTACTTAACAATGATATATTTTTGGCAAGGCATCGGCCTCTGAATGATCCTATAGTACTGAAAATTCTTTTTAAACTGAAATATTTTTCAAGATATATTATTGACCTTATGAAAGCTTTTTTAACATATGAAATTGGGGTTATCTGGCTATGAGTTTGTGAGGCATAAAAATGATATGACAGAAGAATTACAGATTTGTTTTTGCATTTCCATGCCTAAATGTAACTAATACAATGTTAGTTTCACAAGGTAATGTGCAATGTTTTAAATGCATTTACCTCTCCAAAATATTAGAATTCTTCACTCAAAGCTAACAGTGGTAGACTAACGTTTTACTACTTCCAGGCAGTCAGAAAGTATCAAATATAAAAATAAATGAAAATCACCCCAAATGAGAGCCTGCCAATATTTACAGCTGTATTAAAATTATATGTAATCATATACAATTATAGCAGAAGAGATAAATGTCCTCTTCTATGCCCATAGGAAAGCTATACAAACATTTAAAAAAATAAGTGCATATTAACATTTATTTTCTTTAGACATCAGCCCTGCATTTCCCTCATGTGACTTCCTACCTTCCCAAGTCAAACTCTGCAAAAAGTATAAAATCAATGTCTTCTATTCAAAAGAACATTCTCCAATAATACATTATATACCATTTGGTCATTAAGTCAGATGACTTTCATTTATAAAATAAAACAAAATGGAAAGTTTGGCATTGTATTCCACCTGTATAAGTAAATGAAGAAAAAAAATTTGCAAAATATTTTTTAAATATTTTATATTACATAGATGTCCAAAGTATTCCTTATCTCTGCTTAACAACTATGGCTTTTGCTTATATATCAAAAAAGACAAAAATAATTTTGATACTAATTAATCCAACATATTCAAAAGGCTAAGGATCAAAACCCCAATTTAACTTACCACAAGAAACAAAGGAAATTAAAGGGGAGTGGTGTGAGATGTTGGTCAAAGAATACAAAGTTTGTTATACAAGATGCATAAGTCATGGAGAGCTAATTACAGCATGATGACTGTAGTTAATTCTATTGTATACTTGAATCTGCTAAAACATAGATCTTAATTGTTCTTACCACCCCCTCTCAAAAAAATAGCAATGTGAGGTGATGGATAGGTTAACTAGCTCGATTGTTTGATAATGTAATTCACACACTGTATACCTTAAATATATATAGTTTTTACTTGTCAATTATACCTCAATAAAGCTGGGGGGTTAGGGAGAGAAACAAAGGAACTCTCTGAAATAACACCACTGTAGACCTAACTTCATGAAGGGCTATAGGGTGTCCTTTTCTGCAGAAATAAAGAAAGAAGCCGGACCGAAAAAAGAGAAAGAAAGAAAAGAAAAAACTGTCTTAAAACCCACTGGCTATGAAAGAACACTGCTGTTGACCAGAGTGGAAATAAATCTAGTGTCAAAGATGTCTGGTGTCATTTTTAAAAAGCAGCAGCAGGAACTATTTCTTTCAAATGGATTGGTTACAGATGTAACACTATTTTAGTTTTTAAAAAATTATTGCATAATGTCAGTCTATTTATTGTTCTGGCCTTTTCCAAGCTAACTGTTTTCTGACTGAATTGTTTCAACAGATTGTGCAACATAACAGAGGAACCAAGAAGAAACCTCTCACTTGACCTTCTCTGGGTAACTTCATTCATTGCTTCTATTGCATTAAATGCTGTCACATTTGTAGAACTGAAAAGAACAATGTCAGTAGCCCGGGTGTCAAGTCCTCAGAATAGAGAGCTGTCATTTTAAGTTGTCCAATTCTTTGCCTATGATTAAAAAATGAATATTTCAGATCAATGGGTGACAATCCCATTAGAGTGATACCCCATGATATCAATTACCACTTCAGTTTCAATTTGGCTGGCTGGCCACAGGGTACCATTTCTCAGCTTTACTTGTCATGGGCTGGCTCTGTGAAGCATGACATTCTTAAATTGCTGCCCATTATCCAAGTGTCATTACTTGTACTGCCTCAGAATTCTCTGAATCACAAGCAGCTACTGAGGTCAAGCTTTGCAACCAGAGGAATTGGACAAGTTGGAAAATTCTTTATATCAAGGCAAAGTTATTTATCTGGCATCCGACTTAGAAAATTTAAAGTTTCCATTATCCTGACAGTGTGTCAGTTTTGTGTAGGTATATTGATTTAATAATTTAAGAGGTTTTATCAAGGTAGCAGAAGGTTAAACGTTTACTGTGTTTGCATTATTCAGAATGTTGCTTTGTTTTTTTGGCCTCCATCATGCTGATAATAGATTCTATTTAACTCTTCTCCATACCCAACTATACATATAAAATTTTTCCTATAATCATAAAATACATAAACAGTTTGACTTTTAGCATGGCATTTTCAGTTTATCAAAATAAAAAAAAAAACAAAATGTCTTAGCAGTTATCTGTCACATAGGTATATCAAATTTTGTAATTAATTTATGGAAGAGGTAGATTCAAACATGCCTATAATAAACATTCAAAATGAATAATTTGGGGCTTTTTTGCTACCTCCATAAGCATTTTGCAAGAAATATGATTTCCAACAGTCATTGGAATTTTTCTGCGTGAAACTGTAATACTGTATTTGGGATCATTCTTTGATTCTTAAATTATATTCATAAATTCATAAATTGAGATTTTAAACTCTAAAAAAGGAGTTTTCTTCCAAACTTTTCAAATTAGGGCACTCTATCAACGAGGGAGAGAAGGCCCAGTGAAGAGGTATTGGTAGCTATTTGACAAACCTGACATATCCCCTTAGAGCATAATTTCAGCAAAGATTTGGGAAAAAAAAGCAAACTTAAACATTAACAAGTTCAGGCCGGGCGTGGTGGCTCATGCCTGTAATCCCAGCACTTTGGGAGGCCGAGGCAAGTGGATCACTTGAGGTCAGGAGTTCATGACCAGGCTGGTCAACATGGTAAAATCCTGTCTCTACTAAAAATACAAAATTAGCTGGCCATGGTGGTGTGCACCTGTAATCCCAGATACTCAGGAGGCTGAGACAAGGGAATCGCTTGAACCTGGGAGGTGGAGGTTGCAGTGAGCCAAGATGGTGCCACTGCACTCCAGCCTGGGCAACAGAGTGAGACTCTGTCTCAAAAAAAAAAAAAAATTAACACGTTCAGATATGAGGTTGGATACAAAACAGACACTAATTTTTAAACACTGAATTTAAACTTCTAAGAACTTACTGCTTTGGGCCCTATCCATATGCTCAGATTGGGAACGGGTCAGTGGGTGGGATGATTTCATTCTCTTCTGCCTTTAGTGGTATTTCACCTGGGAAGTTGAGAAACATCATTTTACTGTATGTAACAACATACTTTTAAAGATCTTACTAAATGCATTTTATAAATTAAACCTCATTTAAATGCATTCTAGGACCTTAGAAGTTAACAAAAACATTCATAGCAGGATGTCTTTTACACTTGATCTTAGCCAAAAGACCAAGAAGTGATGCAAGATACCTTTTAATGGAGAGAGTCTTCTTACTAATCCTATGTGTATAACCTGATTTTCTTCAATATGTACTTTTTAAATTTTAAGTTCCAGGGTACATGCTCACGATGTGCAGGTTTGTTACATAGGTAAACGGGTGCCATGGTGGTTTCCTGCACCTATTAACCCATCACCTAGGTCTTCAATATTTTTTAAAAACTCATTTCCAGTGTGTGTTTAATAGTAATTTAACAAGAAAAATAAGATCTCAGATGCTTTATCAAGCTCAGCTTCTTCTATGGAACAGAAAAACTTACCAATATTGGGGTTGAATCCTTGTGAAGAGCTATACATACCAAACTCTATCCTAACCCCATATGCTTATTACAAATTATAATTCCAAATTTTATCACCAAATCAAACTCAGAGTAATAGAAAAGAAATATTTAACACAAACTAATAATTAAAACACAAATTTCACCTATTGTTCAGGATATCTTTTTGAGAAAGGTTTTTGTTAAAGAAAATTTCAGATACAAACATAAAGAAAATTAAACAATCAATCCCCATATTCCCAGCTCTCAATAATGAGCCACTCATAGCAATCTTTCAACTTACTTTTAATCCATATTTTGAATCCACAATAGTTATGATACCTACAAAGGAAAAAACATTTTAATCACTTTTTAAAAAGAATGCTTATTAATACTTGTGCAACCATACTTCAGAATGAAAATTAAAACTAACCTATTTCAGTTCACAAATACTACTCAATAAAACAATGTACTATTTTTTTCTCTTGCCAGTGCTGCCATTTAATTAAATTCCAGTAATAAGTCAATGCATTTCCTGAGTGGCTAGCACTATTTTAAGGCACTAGAGAAGATATAAAACAAATAAAAATTTTAAATTAAATAAATAAGAAAATAAGATTTCCTTGGCACTGAAAAAGCTTACAATCCAAAATATAAGTCAAATTTCATAACATAGTCAAATGTGATAAGTACATAAGACAGGTTATTTCTAGTTTATTTTCACATAATCAAAATCAAGACTTTTCTTAAGATTTAAATTATTGCCTAAAGAATGAGACATCTTAAGGTATCATTCCTAACATCTCTCACCAAATCCAAATCCAACTCATAAATGTTTTACATAACATATGCCTAAGTTTCCAAACTACCAATTCATTTTGCAATCTCTGAATATATGCTGATAACAAAAGAATGAGTTTATGCCTAAGGAATTCAACCAGTTACCCGCCACATATATTAGAGCTCAATGATGGGGCCCAGCTTAATAATTCTTAAATTTCTTAATGATTATTACTTTTGAAAAAGTAAGAAAATTTCGACTGGTTTTTAAAAAGGTGAAAAAGGGAAAGAGAAAGGGAGAAAACATAGTCGCTTAACTAAGAAAGTTTCTAATATATTTTAAATGAAGGCATATCATTGCCCAAAAGTGTTCAGGTAAATAAAGTAAGGGAGGAGTGTTTAATTCTTATCTTCAAGAGAAAATAAAAGCAAAAATATGATCCTCATATTGCCTGGAGGATTAAAATAAAAGGCTCTAACATTACATTAAGGGCATAAATCAAACAACAGAGGATACAGAATACCTACAAAGCATTTTTTTTTTTTAAAGAAAACCTTAGTGGAAGCACTAAATTGGAAGTTGAGTGACATCGAGTTCCACCACTGTCTGGGGTTTTTTAATCTATATGAACAAAGATTTCATCATTAAACTAAAGTGTGAAAAGAACCACAATGCAAGGAATTAAAGTTATAATATGAATGAACAACAATAAGCTTAACCATAAAGATTTTACTAAAAAACAAAAGAGGCAGGGTGTGGTGGCTCACGCCTGTAATCCCAGCACTTTGGGAGGCCGAGGCTGGCGGATCACCTGAAGTCAGGGGTTCAAGACCAGTCAGGCCAACATGGCGAAACCCCATCTCTACTAAAAATCCAAAAATTAGCCAGGTACGATGGTGCACGCCTGTATTCCCAGCTACTCGGGAGGCTGAGGCAGGAGAATCACTTGAACCCAGGAGGTAAAGGTTGCAGTGAGCCGAGATCTTGCCACTGCACTCCATGCACTCCAGTCTGGGCAACAAAGTGAGTCTCTGTCTCAGAAAAAAAAAAAAAAAAACAAGAAAGATAAAAGAAAACTGTTTTTTAACTTACCATCAAGGTAAATATCACTCCCTAATTCAGCATCAACCCAAAACATAGAAGCCACTGCACCTGAAAATATATAATATTCATCAAATAAAAATATTTCTTCACACTGAGAAACATGATTCTATCCATGTTTTAATTTGCCCTGATAAAATTAACAGGTAAACACATATATCTTCTTATGGAAATTATAGTGATAGAAGCTTTAACTATTTAGAGCAAAAGGGAATTATAGTGATAGAACCTTTTACTATTTATACCCATTCCATTTCCATCTCTCTTGTTATTTCCTTTAAAAAAGACCAATTCTAACCACATATAAACAAAACATCATTCTTCTACCGATGTCATAATAATTTAATTAACAGATATTATCAAACAATTTGAGCAGTATGGCTTTGTGCACATCAGACTTATTTTTATTTTCTCACCTCTTTAATATGATAATCATTCAATCATAAATAGTGAATTATCACTCTAAAGGAAAAGGAAAACAAAACATAGATAATTCCAAAATCACTTGCCCAAAAAAATTTTACTTGTAATCTGTGTAGAACTAGAAGTAAAATTATATACTCTATGACATTACTAATTATTCCTCACACTATTTATTTAGGACTGTATAAAACCTGGGTCTTAGGAAAAATTTTTCCTAAATAATAAATTAAAACTTGCTTTTGACAGAAATTGGTTCAGTACCAAACCACATACCCTGATTAGTATGCCACAACGCAAGAAAAAGAAAACTGACAGCAAGGAAAGTATTTGATTTTTGAAAGCATCACAGGCCCAGTTAGTGACAGGGCTGTCTAAAAGAATGAGTGTAGGAGAAAAACAAGGATAATCAAACTCATTCCAACGTCTAAAGCTGTCCACCTGCTCTGACAAGATGTGGTCCCCCAAGCATCACTCAGTGTCAACAATGAAATACCTGTCAGCTGTTTACAGTGATTACTCATGCAAGATATAGCAAGGGCCACAAGATCTAATGGTTTCCTGATACCTATTGATTTTTTTCCCAAAAACTTAATAGTTTTCCAATTTGACTCAAATAGCATTTGTGAGTAACAGGGGCTGAATCAATGTCCGTTCTTTTCAAGGAAATTACTTTACCATGACAATTATTTAACTTAGAACTGGAGAGTGTCAGTCTCCAAAACGGGAAACAACTGAATTGCCAATAAGAATTTTGTTCACTTTCTTGGCTAAAACATGATTTTAATTAATGAGGGGGAAAATTAAATCTACTGTATCACTACTCCAAACAATAAGTCATTTAAAAAAGCATGAATTTTTTCACTCAGTAAAATATCTAACATACATAAATCATTTTGTAATTTTTAAAAATTCATTGATTTTTAGTCTAATAAATAGTTTACAAATCCTACTGTTAATATTTGCCTCTTAAGTTGAAATGTAAGAGTATATTAATGCTTTATTCTAAAACTGGTATTTATCTTTGATATAATACTTGCCAGACTACATGAGAAAGATCTATTTAAAATTTGGATGTAGGTATTTAGGAGGAGTAAAGATGAATGAACAAAATTGATCAGTGGCTCTCAAACCAGGGTGCTTTTCTCCCCAGGGAATATTTGGCAATGTCTGAAGATGTTTTTGGTTGTCTTAACTAGGGGAATGCTACTGGCATCTAGTGGGTAGAAGCCAGGGATGTTGTTAAATATCCTACTCTGCACAGGGCAACCCCCTCACAACAAATAATTATCCAACCCAAAATGTTATTTGTGCTGACACTGAGAAAACCTGAACTACATTTTAGAATCTCCCTTCTTCAAAATCTAATAAAACAAAAAATAAAAATAAAAAATAAAACAAAAAGGCCAACATTTTACTAGCAGCAACCAAATATAAAAGGGCCTGCCATAAATTTTGAAGACTGATAGTCAAAATAAGAAACAAAGTTATATGTGATTGATGGTCATTCCCAACTCTACCCCTACCTCCAATAAGAGGTTGTAGGGAAATAGTTTACAAAATCCTAAACACTTACCAGAAATACACTCCAAAATGGCAAAAAGTAGAGCCGAGGAATGAATAAGCAACACAGGGAAAAGTCAACAAAAAAATTTCAAGAGTGAGTTTTAACCATCTCCATGCTTTGGGAAGGAGAAGGTCAGGTCACATTCTAGGGCTCAGAACAAAGAGAAATGAGAGGTCTGAGGTCGAATGATGTCCCCATACAAGGCAAAGGAATTTTATTCATAAGCAGTTGGGCAGACCCAAGAGTGAAATACTTGGTACTTCAAGAGAGCAGAGCCTAAAAGCCACATTGCCCCATTTGGCTCTCTGAATCACCACTTTTCCCTTCTCTTTCCCTCCACTCCAACAATATACAGCTTTCAAACTAGGGCTCAGGAGAAAAACAAACTTGGGTAAGGAGAGTGGAGTATTAAAAATATTTCCCATCAGCACCACATAGAAGTTCTCCCATATCAAGAAGAAACATGTATGCATATGTATTACAGCCTGACAAAAAGAAACACACACATACAGGGAATAAAAAGCAAGAAAGAACACAAAATGAAGAAATGAATAGGGCATACAAATGGCAAAGAACCAACCCATTCTGGAAGGATACATAACCCAATAAAAACTAAAGAAAATTCTCAACAACTTCATCATAATGAAGAACTTGAAAACAATACAACCTTATAATAAACAAGCTCAAAAGCAAGAAGAAGCAGAATAAGATGAAAATGCAGTTTGTAGTGCTAAAGAAACTTAGAGCCTATATGACTTAACCAATTAATTATTTTTAATTATTGACTTAACCAATTAATTAATAATTATTAATAATTTAATTATTGACTTAACCAATTAATTAATAATTAATGACTTAACCAATTAATTCATTTAAAATATCAAAAACAGGACAGACACTGGAGAAAACAGAATTACTGACAAAAAGAAAGGCTTCAGATGATCACAGTAAATGCAAAGGTAAAAGACAAATCAAAGCAATTAGAATACATACGAAGAACAAAAGAAAATTCAGTATTAAAAAAACTGGTGTCATGAAGTAGAGGATCTAATAATTTGACCAAAAAAAAGTATTCATGGTAATAAACAAGGAAAATGTTCTTAGAAGAACTAAGGGCATATTATAATTTAGGCAAAAATGATTATAAGTGACACTTAGATATACCTTGTTTATAATACTGAATTTCAAAAATAAAGAAGAAAACTCTCAGGCATTTTAGATTAAAAAAAAAAAGTGCCTTCAAGGAGGGAGGGAGAAAAATCACTTTTCTACAGTAACACTAGATGTCCCAAAATAATAAAACAGTGACTACAAAGTTCTAATGAAAGTGTTCCCAAACAAGTTATTTTTCAGGAATGAAAGCAATAGACAGACATTCTCAAGCATTAAAGAAAACAGCAAGCATTGAAACTCAGAGACTATAATACTCACAAATTCTTCCTAATAAAAGGAGAAAACATTGGACAAAGAAATCCAGCCAATCAAACACTAGGAGATTATGGAACAACATTTACAAAGTTGAGGGGGAAAAAAGTGTGACTGATAAATTTTATACCTAGCCAAGTAATCCTTCAAGTAATATAAAAACAAAAGACAAATATTTTGAATCAATGAAGTGTATAAGAACCCAAAGAATGCATGCAGTACCTGTATCTTGAAAAGACTGCCTGACAATGAAATTCAATCAGGAGATGGACTAACTCGGGAATGGAGAAGCAACAGTACTGGTAATGAGCACCAAAACTATTAAAACATAGAACTAAAAGAATTACGACAGAACCATGACAACATAAAGAATATGATCAACATGAAACTAGGCCAATTAATATCCTACAATGGCCTCTAAGTGTTCAAGTGAAAGGAACAGTCACCTGTTTCTCACTTTAAATCAAGAGCTAGAAATGATTATGCTTAGTGAGGAAGTTATGTTGAAAGCCAAGATACGCCAAAAGCTAGGTCTCTTGAGCCAGTTAGCTAAGTTGTGAATGCAAAGGAAAAGTTCTTGAAGGAAATTAAAAGTGCTACTCCAGTAAACACACAAATGATAATAAAACAGCCTTATTGCTGATACGAAGTGATCTGGATAGATGATCAAACAAGCCACAATGTTCCCTTAAGCCAAAGCCTAATTCAGAGCAACCCTAACTCTCTTCAGTTCTATGAAGGCTGAGAGAGGTGAGGAAGCTAGAGAAGAAAAGTTGGAAGGTAGCAGAGGTTGGTTCACAAGATTTAAAGAAAGAATCCATCTCCATAACATAAAAGTGCAAGGGAAAGCAGCAAATGCTGATATAGAAGCTGTAGTAAACTACCTAGAAGATGTAGCTAACATCATTCATGAAAGTAGCTACACTAAGCAACAGACTTATTTTTTATTTATTTATTTATTTATTTATTTATTTATTTATTTATTTATTTTGAGATGGAGTCTCGCTCTGTCACCCAGGCTGGAGTGCAATGTGCAATCTCAGCTCACTGCCACCTCCGCCTCCCAGGTTCAAGCCATTCTCCTGCCTCAGCCTCCCAAGTAACTGGGATTACAGGCTCCCACCACAAAGCCAGGCTAATTTTTGGTATTTTTAGTCGAGATGGGGTTTCACTATGTTGGCCAGGCTGGTCTTGAACTCCTGAACTCGTGATCTGCCCATCTCGGCCTCCCAAAGTGCTGAAATTACAGGCATGAGCCACCGAGCCCGGCCAGCAACAGATTTCTAATGGAGATGAAATGGCCTCCTTTTGGAAGAAGATGCCATTTAGGACTTTCATAGCTATAGAGAAGTCAATGCCTGGCTTCAAAGATTCAAAGGACAGGCTGACTCTCTTGTTAGAGGCTAAAGCAGCTGGTGACTTCAAGTTGAAGCCAATAATCATTTACCATCCTGAAAATTCTAGGGCCATTAAGAATTATGCTAAATCTCCTCTGCCTGTTTTCTATAAATAATAAAGCCTAGATGACAGCACATCTGTTTACAGCATGGTTTATTTTAAGCCCACCATTGAGATCTACTGCTTAGAAAAAAAAAGATTCCTTCAAAATATTATTGCTCATTGACAACGCACCTGATCACCCAAGAGCTGTGATGGAGATGTACAAGGAGATTAATGTTGTTTTCATGCCTGCTAACACAACATCCATTCTGCAGCCCACTGATCAAGGAGTAACTTTGACTTTTAAGTCTTATTTAAGAAATATATTTCATAAGGCTATAGCTACCATAGATAGTGATTCCTCTGATGGATCTAGGCAAAGTAAATTCATCATTCTAGATGTCATTAAGAACATTCGTGATTCATGGGAGATCAAAGTATCAACATGAATAGGAGTTTGAAAGATGATTCCAGCCCTCACAGATGACTTTGAGGGATTTCAGACTTCAATGGAGGAAATAACTGCAGATATGGTGGAAACAGTAAGAGAACTAGAATTAGAAGGGGAGTCTGAAGATGTGACTCAATTCCTGCAATCTCATAAGAAAACTTTAACTAATGAGAAGTTGTTTCTTATGGACGGGAAAAGAACGTGGTTTCTTGAGATGGAATCTACTCCTGGTGAAGATGCTATGAACACTGTCAAAATGACAACAAAGGATTTAAAATATGACAGAAGCTTAATTGATAAAGCAGGGTTTGAGAGGACTGACTCCAATTTTGAAAGAAGTCATACTGTGAGTAAAATGCTATCAAATAGCATCATGTGCTATAGAGACATCTTTTATGAAAGGGAGAGTCAACTAATGCAGCAAACTTCATTATTATCTTATGAAATTGCGATAGCCACCCCAACCTTCAGTAACTACTACCCTGATTGGTCAGCACCCATCAACATTGTGGCAAGACCCTCTACCAGCAAAAAGATTACGACTTGCTGAAAGCTGAGATGATCGTTAGCATTTTTAGCAATAAATAATTTTAATTAAGGTATGTATGTTTTTTAGACAATTCTATTACACATTTTATAGACTACAGTATAGTATAAACACAGCTTTTTTTTTTTTTTTTTTTTTTTTAAGAAATGGGGTCTCATGCTGTCATCCAGGCTGGAGTGCAATCATGACTCACTGCAGCCTCAAACTCCTGAGCTCAAGTGATCCTCCCAAGTAGCTGGGACTACAGGCCTGTCACATCACACCCGGCCAAAACGCATAACTTTTATATGCAATGGGAAACAAAAAAATGTGTGTGACTCACTCTATTGTGATATTCAGTTTACTGCAGTGATATGGAACTAAGCCCACAATATCCCTGCGGTATGGCTGTACAGTATAAGAATCACCTGAAGGGCTTATTAAAAACAGCTTGCTTGACCCCCTCCCTTAGAGATTCTGATTCAGTAGATCTGGGTTGGTCAAGAATTTGCATTTCTAACAAGCTCCCAGCTGAGGCTGAGGCTGCCATTCAACATACTACCAAGTAGCACTGGCATAGAGAGATCCCTGGAATAAAATTTACCTACTTGTGTGTGTGCGTGTGTGTGTGTGCGTGTGCATGTGCGTGTGTGTGTGTATACAGTCTTGCTCTGTTGCCTGGGCTGGAGTGCAGTGGTGTGATCTCGGCTCACCGCAACCTCCGCCTCCCAGCTTTCAAGCGATTCTCATGCCTTAGCCTCCTGAGTAGCTGGGATTATGGGGTGCGCCACAACGCCTGGCTAGTTTTTGAATTTTCAGTAGAGACTGGATTTCACCATGTTGGCTAGGCTGGTTTTGAACTCCTGGCCTCAAGGGATCCACCTGCCTCAGCCTCCCAAAGTGCTGGGATTACAGGCATGAGCCACCATGCCCAGCCCCTACTTGTATATCACAATAGTGAGATGATAACTTTTCAACTTTCTTCTTTGTATTTTTTAGGTATTTAAATTTTTTTACAATGAATGTTCTATCTTTACCCAAACAATAAAATCTTTATTGTAAAGAAAGTTAGAAGCAAGAAACATTAACATTTTTTATAACTACAATTTGTATAAAAGCTTTCTCTGTGATCTTTAGTTTTTCTTTCTTCCTCTGAAAAGCTGAATCGTGTTTAATTAAACTCTCAAAAGTATCAAGTTTTTGTCTATAAAATGGCAAAACTGGCTATGATGAAATAAACTGATATTTGCTATTTCTAATAAAAGCATACAATATATTTTTCTTTCTTACCAGATTCAAATAATATTTAATGCCAACATATTAGTCCAAGTCCTATCATCAGTCAGATTTATCAGAAAGGTATGAAAACCCATGCCTACTATAAGGACCCAAATAGCCTAATTCAATACTACTTTGAAAACATGGGGATGATGTTATTATGTAATTGTTTTAAGTACAATAACCACTGATCACATTTGAACTCTCAGGATACTTCAATATTTCTTTTGGACAACTATGACCTGTTTAGTAAATCACCCCCAAATACTTTAATATAGTTTTACAAATCGCCCCAATGCCAGAGACCCAGATCAAAAAGAAAATAATGGTATGGGTCAGATTCACAGAATAAGCACTAACTTTTATGCAAACTGAAAATAAAGATTTTATCTAAAAGTCATTTGGGGAAAATAAGCAGACTTTATCAAGAATTAGAGCTTGGTAAGAAGGTAACAGAAACCCATTGTTAGAAACAGGTTGACTCTGTGTAGCTTTCCATAGTAGAGTTTAGAGTTTCTTGTCATGATTACCTTATCAATGCAGTATAATAACTACTTACACAGCACTTACATTGTATTAGGTATTATAAGTAATCTACAGATGATTTAAAGTATATGGGAGGATGTACATAAGTTATAGGCACATACTACACTATTTTATGTAAGGGACTTGAACATTAATAGATTTTGGTATCCTCAGAGGTTCCGGAACTAAGTAATCTAGTAAACCTCAGATTCTAGGTTGACATTCAGGCCCCCAGTAGTCACTTGGCCCCATGTGGACACTCAGGCGCCACATTCACATGATGTCTTAACTGGACACCAAGGGGCCAGTTTGATACCCAAGTCCTGTGTGGGTGCCAGGTCCAAGGTTACACTCAAGCCCCAAGTGGACACCAGACCCTAGGTGAATAATACAACCCAGGGGGTCATTAGGACCCAGAATGACACCAGTCCCCAGGTTAACAGGAAGCCCCCAGTGGGTACCCAGGCCCCAGCTGGACATCAGGCCTAATGTGGACACCCAGGATCAAGATGGACATCAGGACTCAGGTGGACATCTGGTGACAGGTGGACATCAAGCCTGATGTGTACCTTGTCCCCGCGTGGTCATCAGGCCCCAGTTCAACACCAGTCCCTGGGTGGATTCCTCGGCTCCAGGTGGACATCCATGCTGCAGGTGGACACCAAGGGCCCAGATGGGCATCAGGCCCCATTTGGACATTGAGGCCCCAGGTGGATATCAGGCCTCAGGTGAACCCAAGGTCCAACATAGACATCAGGCCTTAGGTTGACACTCAAGCACCAGATGGACTGCTGCACCTAAGCAGAAAATAGACCCCTATCTGGATATCTAAGATACAGGTATACAACAAGCCCCAGGCTGACATCCAGACCCCAGGAGGACACCATACCCCAGGTGAACAGCAGGCAACAGTTTGGCACCAAGGACCTAAGTGAAACAAAGCCTTAGGTGATTACCAGGCCATAGGTAGTCATTAGTCTCCAGCTGGACAATAGTCCCTAGGTGGATACCTAGGCCCCAGGTGGACACTAGACCCCAAATTAACACAAAAACCAAGTAAAAAATCAAGCCCCAAGTGGACAACCAGGCCCTAGGTAAATACACAAATCTCAAGCTGACACCAGGCCCTATTTGGACACCCAAGCCCTATGTGGACTTCGGACCCCAGGTGAACACTGAACTCTAGAAGGTCTTCAGACCCCGTGTTGACTACCTGGCCCCAGGGGGACACCAGGCATAGATGAACTTCAGGCACCAGCTGTACATCAGGTTTCAGGCAAATGTCCAGGTCCCAGGTGGAAATCAAACCTCAGATGAACACCAGGCCCCAGGTAGACATCACAAACCAAGTGGACACTCAGATCCCTACTGAATATCCATCCCCAGGTGGACATCCATCCCAAGGTGGACATGAGGCCACAGATGTACACTTAAGCCTAAGGCAGACCCCAGGCCCCAGGAAAACTCCAGGCTCCATGAGGGCACTCAGACCCCAGGTGGATGCATTGGTCCTAGGTAAATACAAGGCCCCAGGTAGACATCAGGCTCCAGTGAACACCGGAGCCCAGGTGGGTACCTAGTCCCCAGGTATGCAACAAGCAGAAGGTTGACCCAGTCCCCAGCTGAACTCTGGGCCCCAGCTGAACATCATAACCCAGATGGTCACCCAGGCTCCAGGTGAACACATGGTCTTAGGTAGACATCAGGCCCCACATGAACACCCAAGCCCCAGGTAGATATCAGGCCTTAGGTGTACACCAGACCTCAGGTGGGCATCTGGCTCCAGATGGCCATAGGTGGATAACTAAGCCTCTCCTGGATATCAGGCCCCAGGTGGGCACCAGGCTCCAGGCGAACATCTAGCCCCAGGGGGACATCCAGCCCCTGGTGGACATCAGGGCTCACATGGATAAACAGTTTACAGATGGACACCTGCCACAGGTGCCTCACCTCTACTTCCTGAAACCTCACTTCCCCTCATGGGCCTTCTGTCCGACTTGGGGTACCCCTAGCCGCCCTAGGCACACACTGGACTCGAACCAAGGGTGCCAGAGTCCCTGGGGCTCAGCGCAAGGGTTCATGGGAATACACTTTCGTCCGTCGGGACCCAGTCCTCACTTCTTGGCGGCGCAGTTTTTTTTTTTCTCTGCCCCAGGTGCCTCACCTTCCCCTCATGGGCCTTCTGTCCACCTTGGGGTACCCCTAGCGGCCCGAGGCATACCCTGGGCTCGAACCAGGGATGCCAGGGTCCCCGGGGCTCAGCGCAAGGGCTGATGGGGAGACACTTTCTTCCGTGGGGGACCCAGGCCCCGTTTCTCTGAGGCGTGTTTTTTTTTTTTCTCTGCCCCAGGTGGGTCACCTTCCCCTCATGGGACTTCTGCCCGCTTTGGGGCACCCCTAGCGGCCCCAGGCACACGCTGGGCTCGAACCAGGGACGCCAGGGTCCCTGGGGCCCAGTGCAGGGGCTGATGGGAAGACACTTTCATCCGTGGGGGACCCAGGGCCCGCTTCTCGGCGGCGCGGTTTTTTTTCTCTGCCCCAGGTGCCTCACCTTCTCCTCAGGGGCCTTCTGCCTACGTTGGGATACCCTAGCAGTCCCGAGGTGCACCCTGTGTTCACACCAGGGACGCCAGTGTCCCCAGGGCCCAGCACAGGGGCTCATCGGAAGGCACTTTCTTCCGTGGGGGACCCAGGCCCCGCTTCTAGGCGGAGCGGTTTTTAATTTTTTTCTCTGCCCCAGGTGTCTCACCTTCCCGTCATGGGCCTTCTGCCCGCCTTGGGGTACCCCTAGCAAGCTGAGGCGCACCCTGGGCTCTAACCAGGGATGCCAGGTTCCACAGGGCCCAGCTCAGGGGCTGATGGGAAGACACTTTCGTCTGTGGGGGACCCAAGCTCTGCTCCTCTGCAGGGTTTTTTTTTTTCTCTTCCCCAGGTGCCTCACCTTCCCTTCATGGGCTTTCTGACCTCCTTTGGGTACCCCTAGCGGGCCCGAGGCTCACCCTGGTTTCGAGTCAGGGATGCTAGTGTCCCCGGGGCCCAGCGCAGCGCTGATGGGAAGGGACTTTTGTCCGTGGGGGACCCAGGGCCCGCTTCTCCGAGGTGAGCTTTTTTTTTTTTCTGCCGCAGGTGCCTCACCTCTCCTCCCTCAAACCTCACCTTCCCCTCATGGGCCCTCTGCCCGCCTAGAGGTACCGCTAGCGGCCCAAGGCACACCCTGTGGCTGAACCAGGGACGCCAGGGTCCGTGCGGCCCAGCACAGGCGCTGATGGGAAGACACTTTCGTTCGTGGAGGACCCAGGCCCCGTTTCTCAGTGGCGCGGTTTTTTTTCTCTGCCCGGGTGCCTCACCTTCCTCTAATAGGCCTTTTGCCCGCTTTGGGGCACCCCTAGCGGGCCCTATTCGCACCCTGGTCTCGAACCAGGGTCGCAGTGTCCACGAGGTCCAGCGCAAGCCCTGATGGGAAGGCACTTTCCTCAGTGGGGGACCCAGGCCCCGCTTCACTGCGGCGCGTTTTTTTTTTCCTGCCACAGGTGCCTCACCTTCCCCTCATGGGCTTTCTGTCCACCTTTGGGTAACCCCAGCGGCCCGAGGCGCACCCTGGGCTCAAACCAGGGATGCCAGGGTCCCTGGGGCCCAGCGCAGGGTCTGATGGGAAGACACTTTCTTCCATGGGGAACCCAGGCCTCCCTTCTCCGTGGCGAGGTTTTTTTTTCTTTTCTGCCACAAGTGCCTCACCTCTCCTCCCTCACAGCTCACTTTCCTGTCATGGGCTTTCCACCGCGTTGGGGTACCCCTAGTGGCCCGAGGCTCTCCCTGAGCTCGAACCAGGGACCCCAGGTTCCCCGGGGCCCAGCGCAGGGGCTGATGGGAAGGCACTTTCATCCGTGGGGGACCCAGGCCCCACCTCTCCACGGCGCGGGTTTTTTTTTTCTTTTTCTATGACAGTTGCCTCACCTCTCCTCCCTCAAATTTCACCTTCCCCTCATGGGCTTTGTGCGCCCAAAGCCCCCCTTGGGGTGCAATTAGCGGCCAAAGCACACCCTGAGCTCGAACCAGGGACACCAGGGTCCCTGGTCCCAGTGCAGGGACTGATGGGAACACACTTTCGTCCGTGGGGCACCCAGGCCGTGCTTCTCTGTGGCGAAGTTTTTTTTTTTTTCTCTGCCCCAGGTGCCTCACCTTCCCCTTAGGGGCTTTCTGCCCACCTTGGGGTACCCATACTGGCCCGAGGCGTACCCTGGGGTCAAACCAGGGACGCCAGGGTCCCCAGGGCCCAGCGAAGGGGCTGATGGGATGGCACTTTCATCCGTGGGGGACCCAGGCACTGCTTCTCGGTGGCGCGTTTTTTTTTCTCTGCCTCAGGTGCCTCACCTTCCCCTCATGGACCTTTTGTTCGCTTTGTGGTACCCCAAGCGGTCCCGAGGCGCACCCTGGGCTCAAACCAGGGTCGCCAGGGTCCACCGGGCACAGCATAGGGCCTGATGGGAAGGCACTTTCATCCGTGGTGGACCCAGGCCCCGCTTCTCTGAAGCGCGGTCCTCTTTTTTTTTTTTTCTGCCCATGGTGCCTCACCTCTCTTCCCACAAACTTCAACTTCCACTCATGGGGCTTCTGTCCGAGTTGGGGTACCCCTAGTCGCCCGAGGCGCACCATGGGCGCGAACCAGGGATGCCAGGGTCCCTGGGGCCCAGCGCAAGGGCTGATGGGAAAAAAACTTTCGTCCGTGGATGACCCAGACACTGCTTCGCGGCGCATTTTTTTTTTTCTTTGCCCCAGGTGTCTCACCTTCCCCTCATGGGCCTTCTGCCTCTCTGCGCCTGCGCCGGCGCTGTGGGCCTCTCTGCGCCTGCGCCGGCGCTGTGGGCCGCTCTGCGCCTGCGCCGGCGCTGTGGGCCGCTCTGCGCCTGCGCCGGCGCTGTGGGCCGCTCTGCGCCTGCGCCGGCGCTGTGGGCCGCTCTGCGCCTGCGCCGGCGCTGTGGGCCGCTCTGCGCCTGCGCCGGCGCTGTGGGCCGCTCTGCGCCTGCGCCGGCGCTCTGGGCCGCTCTGCGCCTGCGCCGGCGCTGTGGGCCTCTCTGCGCCTGCGCCGGCGCTGTGGGCCTCTCTGCGCCTGCGCCGGCGCTGTGGGCCTCTCTGCGCCTGCGCCGGCGCTGTGGGCCTCTCTGCGCCTGCGCCGGCGCTGTGGGCCTCTCTGCGCCTGCGCCGGCGCTGTGGGCCTCTCTGCGCCTGCGCCGGCGCTGTGAGCCCTTGCGAGGGCGGAGCTGCATTCTTACCAGCACAGACATCGCCAGGAGAGCATCGCCAGGTCTGAGCTGAGTTCTCCTCTGCACAGACTTCGGAGATACAGCGAAGGCGGAGCAGTGTTCTCCTCAGCACAGACCCAGGCGGGCCGGGGGCACCGCGAGGGCGGAGCTGCGTTCTGCTCAGCACAGACCCCGGGGACACCGCGAAGGCAGAGTAGCGTTCTCCTCACAACAGACCTTGGGGGCAGTGCCTCGCTTTGGGACAACTCGGGGCCGCATAGACGGTGAATAAAATCCTTCCCGTTTGCAGCCCTGAATAATCAGGGTCAGAGACCAGTTAGAAGGGTTCAGTGTGGAAAACGGGAAACCAAAAGCCACTCTGAATCCTGCCCACCGAGGTTCTCCCCAGCCAAGGCGAGGCGGCCGCAGTGCGAGATCCACACCGCAGCCTTGGAAGACAAATGCAGCACTCCTAATGCAGAGATGACACCCAAAATATGACACCCCCATTGCTCATGTAACAAGCACCTGTAATGCTAATGCATTGCCTCAATACAAAAATATTAATATAAGATCCGCAATCCCCTTGCTGCCATGCAGTCCTAAGACAGAGATCATAATAATCAACATTGACATAGTCAATACAAACGTAGTAATGAACCTAGGGTTAAGGTTGGTGTTAGGGTTAGGGGTTAGGGGTTAAGTTTAGGGTTAGGGGTTGGAGATAGGGGTTGGGGTCAGAGTTAGGAGTTAAGAGTCAACGTTTAGAGTTAGGGGTTAAGAGAAGTTAGGGGTTAGGGATAAGGGGTTAGGGTTGCATTAGTGTGAGGGTGAGGGTTGTGGTTAGGGGTTAGGCTTAGGGGTTACGGTTAAGGGTTAGGGTCAGGGGTTAGGGGTCAGGGTCAGGGGTTGGGGTCTGGGGTCAGGGTCAGGTTCAGGAGTCCTACTCTGTGAGTTGTCTGTTTACTCTGCTGACTGTTCCCTTTGCCATGCAAAAGCTGTTTAGTTTAATTAAGTCCCAGCTATTTATCTTTGTTTTTATTGCATTTGCATTTGGGTTCTTGGTCATGAAATCCTTGCATATGTCAATGTCTAGAAGGGTTTATCCAGTGTTATCTTCTAGAATTTTTATACTTCAGGAATTAGATTTAAGTTCTTAATCCATCTTGAGTAGATTTTTGTATAAGATGAGAGATGCGAATCCAGTTTTATTCCCCTACACGTGGCTGACCAATTATCCCAACATCATGTATTGAAAAGGGGGTCCTTTCCCCACTTTATGTTTTTGTTTACTTTGTCGAAGATCAGTTGGCTGTAAGTATTTGGGTTAATTTCTGGGTTCTCTCTTCTGTTCCATTGGTCTATGTTCCTATTTTTAAACCAGTACGTTGGTGTTTTGGTAACTATGGCCTTATTGTACAGTTTGAAATAAAGTAGTGTGATACCTCCAAGTTCTTTTTGCTTAGGCTTTGTTTGGCTATATGGCTCTCTTTTGGTTCCATATTAATTTTAGAATTGTTTTTGTAATTCTGTGAAGAATGATGGTGGCATTCAGATGGGGATTGCATTGAATTTGTAGATTGCCTTTAACAGAATGGTAATTTTCACAATATTGGTTTTACCCATCCATGAGCATGGGGATGCGTTTCCATTTGTTTGTGTCATCTATGACTTCTTTTCTTTCTTTTTTTTTTTTCAGAGGGAGTTTCGCTCTTGTCGCTGAGGTGGGAGTGCAATGGTGTGATCTCAGCTCACTACAACTTCTGCCTCCCGAGTTCAAGCGATTCTCCTGCCTCAGCTTCCCGAGTAGCTCGGATTATAGGCATGTGCCACCGTGCTTGGCTCCATCTATGATTTCTTTCAGCAGTGTTTTGTAATTTTCATTGTACAGGTCTTTTGATTCCTTTGCTAGGTATATTCCTAAGTTTTGTTTTTTGTTGTTGTTTTTCACAGCTATTGTAAAAGGGGTTGAGTTCTTGATGTGATTCTCTGTTTGGTAGCTGTTGATGTATAGAAGAGCTACTGATTTGTGTCCATTAATCTTGTATCTGGAAACTTTGCTGAATTCTTTTATCAGTTCTAGGAGCTTTCTAGAGGAGTCCATAGGATTTTCTAGGCAAAAGATCATATCATCAGCAACAAGTGACAATTTGACTTCCTCTTTACCGATTTGGATTTCCTCTATTTCCTTCTTTTGTCTGATTACTCTGGCTAGGACTTCCAGTACTATGTTGAAGAGGAGTGGTGAGAGTAGGTTCCTCGTCTTGTTCCAGTTCTCAAAGGGAATGCTTTCACCATTTCCCCATTCAGTATTATGTTGGCTGTGGGTTTGTCATAGATGGCTTTTATTACATTAAGGTATGTCACTTTTATGCCTATTTTGCCGAGAGCTTTAATCATAAAGCAATGCTAGATTTTGTCAAATGTTTTTTCTGCACCTGTTGATATAATCATATTAGATTTTTTAATTCTGTTTATTTGATGTATCACATTTATTGACTTGCATATGTGAAACCACTCCTATATCATTGGTATGAAACCCACTTGATCATGGTGGATTATTTTTTGATATGTTGTCGGATTCAGTTAGATAGTATTTTGTTAAGGATTTTGGCATCTGCGTTCATCAAGGATATTGGTCTGTGGTTTTCTTTTTTGGTTATGTCCTTTCATGGTTTTGGTATTAGGGTGATGCTGGCTTCATAGAATGAATAACGGAGGGTTTCTTCTTTCTCTGTCTTGTGGAATAGTATGAAAAGATTGGTATCATTTCTTCTTTGAATGAAAGAAGACATTCTTTGAATGTCTGGTAGAATTCTGCTGTGAATCTGTCTGGCCCTCGGCTTTTTTTGCTGGTAATTTTAAAATTACCATTTCAGTCTTGCTGCTTGCTTTATTGGTCTGCTTGGGGTATCTAATTCTTCCTGATTTAAGCTAGGAGAGTTGTATTTTTCCAGGAATTTATCCAACTCGTCTAGGTTTTGTAGTTTATGTGCCAAAAGGTGTTCATAGTATCCTTGAATAATCTTTAATATTTTAGTGGTGTCAGTTGTAATATCCCCTGTTTTATTTCTTAGTGAGGTTATTTGGATTTTCTCTCTTCTTTTCTTGGTTAATCTTGCTAATGGTCTATCAATTTTATTTATCTTTTCAAATAACCAACTTTTTGTTTTATTTATGTTTTGTATTTTTTTGTTGTTGTTGTGTCAATTTCATTTAGTTCTGCTCTGATCTTGGTTATTTCCTGTGTTTGCTGGGATTGGGTTTGTCTTGTTCCTGCTTCTCTAGTTCCTTGAGATGTGAACTTAGATTGTCTCTTTGTGCTGTTTCAGACTTTTTGACGTAGGTTTTTAGGACTACAAACTTTGCTCTTAGCAGTGCCTTTGCTGTATCCTAGAGGTCTTGATAGGTTGTGTCATCCAGTTTGAAGAAATTTTTTACATTTCCATCTTGATTTCATTTTTCACCCAATGCTCATTCTGTGAGGAACAATCAAATTGTTTTCCTCAGCAAGGGCATCATTTTCTATTCCTAGCAGCCAGTTCATGAGGGCTCCAACTTCTCCACCTCCTTAGCAACATTTGTTTTCTGTGTCATTGTTATGAAAGCCTTACTTGTGGGTGCAGAGTGGCATGAATGAAGTGAATTAACATGTTTATTACCTCACAGAATAGTTACCTTTTTGTGTGTATGCGTGGGATAAGAAAACTTAACTCTATCCCCTGTGACTGAATAGTGGCCATTCCAGCTGCTCCAGGCTCCAGCAGCGGAAGACCAAGGTAGGTGGCTCCACCAGGGTGACCCTCAGGTCTGGCGCACACGCATTCCAGAGGCCACCCAGACCATGCTCTGCCGCCTGGGCGCCCAAGCTTCAGTCGCCCTCTGTGTGCAGGCAGCAGCTGCCTGGCAACCCCCGAGCCCGCTCGCGCTCCCACCATCGCAGAACCAGGGCCAGGTGTCCCAGTGGCTGCGGCCAAGCCAGGCATTCTGCCCTGCAGCAGAAGCTGCACAGGAGCGAGAACTGAGAACCCACCGCTCAACCCCACATGGGGTGACTGCCGAGTGCCCATACAAACGGCTCCGATCTCCCTAAAGTGGAGGAGTGGGCAGGAGGCACGGCCTGGGGGCCCTCAGCCTGGGCATGCTGGCGATCTCGAGGCCGACCAGGCCATGCCCCTCCAGCCCGCCTGGGCACCCGAGTTGCAGCCGCCTTCTGCATGCAGGCAGCAGCCTCCAGGCAACTCCCGAGCCCGCCCGCACTCCGCACATCTCGGAAGCAGGGCCAAATGTCCCTGTGGTTGTGGCCAAGCCAGGTGGTCTGTCCTGCAGCAGCTGCACGGGGGCGGGAACCGACCCTCAGCCCCATCCCCGGTGGCTGCAGAGGGCCCCTGGAGCGGCCCCGATCTCTCTTTGGAGGAGAAGAGGGGTGGGAGTCACGGCCAGGCGGGCCCTCAGGCGGGAAGGGATGCGCGCCTGCGATTCCGGGACGTCCCGCGCCAGCCCAGGAGAACCCGCAAGCCAGCGGCACCTGTTTCTCTGTGTGATTCTTTAAGGAACCACCAAATTGTTCCCCAGCAACTGCATCATTTTCTATTTCTAGCAGCCAGTTCATGAGGGCTCCAGTTTCTCCACCTCTTTAGCAACATTGATTTTCTGTGTCGTTGTTATGCAAGCCTTACTAGTGGATGCAAAGTGGCATCTCATTTGGGTTTTGTCTTACATTTTATTAATGAATAACGGTGTTTAGCATCTTTTCTTGTCCTTCTTAGACATTTGTGTATCTTCTTTGCAGAAATGTCTATTCATGTCCTTTGCCTATTTTTTAATTGGGATCTTAGAAATTCTGTTGTTGAGTTGTGGGATATTAAACTTTTATCAGATACACACTTTGATTTTATCAGACACATATTTTCTCACATATTATGGGTTGTCTTTTCACTCCCTTGATAGTATCCTTTGATGCATAAAGGGTTTTTATTTTGATTAAATCTAATTTTCATGTATTTTCTTTTGTTATCTGTGCTTTTCTGTCATATTTCAAAATACACTTAAAACTCAAAGGTCATAAAGGTTTACCGTGTGTTTTCTTCTAAGAGTTACATATTTTTAGTCCTTACATTTAAGTCTTTTATTAATTTAGAATTAATTTTTGTATATACTGCAAGGTAGGGGTCTAACTTCTCTCTTGTGCACTGACATCCAGCTGTTGAAGAGAATGTTCTTTCCTCCCTTGACTTGGCCACCTTGTTGAACAGTCATTGAGCATATATGTGAGGACTAACTTGTAGGATCTCAAATCTGTTCTATTGTATTGGTCTGAAAGTCTATTGGTCTTATGCCAGTACCACACTCTCTTGATTACTGTAGATTTGTAGTAGGCTGTGAAACTGAAAAATGTGAGTTTTCCAATGTTCTTTTTCAAGACTGTTTTGTCTGTCAGATCCTTTGAATTTTTGTATGACTTTAGAATGAGTTTCTTTGTTTCTGCAAAAATGCTTTTGGGATTTTGATGGTATTGCATTGAATCTGTAGATTATTTTAGATGGTATTGTCATCTTAACAATATTGTCTTACAACCTGTGAACACAGAATGTCTTTCCACTTATTTCCACTCTCTTTAGTTTTTTTCAGCAAAGTTTTGTGTATACCACCATGGTTAGATTTATGCCCGAATAACGTATTCTTTGATGTTATTATAAATGGAATTTTTAAAATGTTTTCATAGTTCTTTACAACTATATAGAAATATAGCCCATTTGCCTTATGTTTGTTTGCATCCTGCCTCTTTTATTAGTTATAATCGGTTTTGTGTTTTGTTTGGAGCTTTATACCCATAAGATCATGTGTAGATATAATTTTACCTATTTTTTATTTCTAATGTAGATGCCTTTTATTTCTTTGTCTTGCCTAATTGCTCTGGCTAGAACTGCCAGTGCTACATTGAACACAAGTGGCAAATGCACCATCCTCATCTTGTTCTAGATGTTAGGAAAACAGCTTTCAGTGCTTCATCATTGATCATGATATTAAGTGTTGGGTTTTTGTACATCCCATTGTCATGTTGCAGAAGATCCCTTCTATACCTAGTTTATTGAGTATATTTATTACAGAAGGGTGTTGTATTTCATCAATGTTTTCTCTGCATCAATTGAAATAATCACATCCTTATTCATTTTATTGTTAGAGTATATTACACTGATTGATTTTTTATATGTTGAGCCACCCTTGCATTTTGGGGATAAATCTCAAAGGGTGATAGTTTACAATCCTTTGATTATACAGTATTGCTGCTAGTATTTTGCTAGGATTGTTAGTATTTTGCTGAGATTTTTGCTTATATATTCATAAGGGATATAGTGCTGTATTTCTCTCTTTTGTGCTTTCTTTGTCTTTGGTATAAGGATAATGCTGTTATCAAAAAATGAATTAGTAAGTATTCCTTCTTCATATATTTTGTCAGAAGAGTTTGAGAATAAATGGTATTAATTCTTCTTTAAATGTTAGGTTGACTCACCAGTTAATGCAGCTATTTGGTCATAAATGTTTCTTTGTTAATCGCTTTCGATTACTAATTCAATCTCCTAGGTTATAGGTCTATTCAGATTTTCTCTTTCTTCATGAGCCACTTTGGTAGTTTTTGTCTTTCTAGCGATTCATCCATTTCATCCAGGGCACCTAATTTGTTGCTAGACAGTTGTTCACAGTGTACTCCTGTAAACCTTTTGTATTTCTGTAAAGTTGGTAGTAATGGCTCTGCTTTCATGTATTATTTTAGTAATTAGTCTTCCATCTTTTGCTCAGTCAATATAGTGAAATGCTTGATCTTTCAAAGAATCTATGTTTTTTCATTCTACTGCTCTCCAACCTTCTATTTTATTGATTTATGCTCTAATTATACTCTTTATTATTTCTTTCCTTCTGCTAGCTTTGGATTTAGTCTTCCACCTGGATTTATTTTGGGAGTGATGTTGATGTAACTTCATGGAAATAATACTAGATAGAAAGTTAGTGGATGGATTCTCTATCTGATGAGAGTTTTGGGCAAATCAAATACCAAGTTACCAAGTTTTATTTTTTTCTCTGATTCAGAAAACAATTTGGCAGCCGGTGAGAAACTCTCACAGCTCTGGATGTGAGTTTAGGACACTGGATTTCTACCATTCAATTTCTTACTACTTTTTTGCACAGGGATCATGGCACAAGTTGCAGTTTCCACCCTGCCCATTGAAGATGAGGAGTCCATGGAAGATGAGGAGTCATTGAAGATGATTCTGCGGAGAGCAGGATGGTGGTGACATTGCTCATATCAGCTCTCGAGTCCACAGTGAGATCTTGTGTTCTAACATTATATAATTGGGTAGGACTGGGTGGTAGATAAGGTTGACTTGTTTTTGTAGAACTTATAATTTTATGATTTGTAGTTCTAACGAGTAGATCTTTTTCTTGAATAGTAGTTATGGTCAAACACTTCTAACCAAATGTGCCATGTTGTCCAGCCTGGTCTCAAAATATGGGGCTCAAGAGACCTGCCCACCTTGGCCTCCCAAAATACTGGGATTAGAGGTGTAAGCCCCTGAATCTGGCCAGATATTTTTCTTTTTATGGCTGAATAATACTCTGTGTATGTATATATTACATTTTCTTTATCTATTCACCTATTGATGGGCATTAGGTTTGGGCTACATTTTGGCCACTGTGAATAATGCTGCTGTTAAATGGGTGTACAAATACCTGTTTGAGTCCCTGCTCTCAGTTCTTTTGGGTATATACGCTTAAAGGGTGTTGATGGATCATATAAATCTGTGCTTAATATTTTTAAGGAGCTTCTAAACCGTTTTCCACAGTGGGCTGTACCGTTTTACATTCCAAAAAGCAATGCATACAGCTTCCAATTTCTCTATAGCATTGCTGACAGTTAATATTTTCTGTTTATGTATTGTATTTTTATAGGGTTTGAAATTAATCTGAGGCTTTTTGCTGATACCGAAATATTAGGAAAGGTTTTCCAAAAATAATACTACTTATTATAAAGAATTTTACGTGTTACTTGATGCCCTGTGATCTGTTTTCTAAGTAAGAAGAGGAACTTCTCGGCTGGGCACAGCGGTTCATGCCTGTAATCCCAGCACTTTGGTAGGCTGAGGCAGGTGGATCACAAGGTCAGGAGTTCAAGACCAGCCTGCCAACATAGTGAAACCCAGTCTCCACTAAAAAAAAAAAAAATTAGCTGGGTGTGTTGGGGGGGGGGGCGCCTCTAATCCCAGGAATTCTGAAGGCTGAGGCAGAGAATTGGTTGAACCCATGAAGCAGAGGTTACAGTGACCGAGATTGTGCCACTGCACCCCAGCCTGTGTGACAGAGTGAGAATCCATCTCAAAAAAAAAAAAAGGAAAGAAAGAAGAGGAACTTCTCTCCATCCAGCCTCATTCCACTGCACCAACTCTTCTGTGTCGGGTTGTGCAGGGGAGAAAGGGAGCTTGGCACCTCTTTGCTGTGTTGAGTTGTGGTAGCCCATCACTGGGTTGTAAAGTGCCTTGCCTCCTTTCCTCCCCCTATTTTTTTTTGAGACAGAGTCTCACTCTGTTGCCCAGGCTCAGGTGCAGTGGTGTGATCTCTGCTCACGCAACCTTAGCCTCCTGGGTTCAAGTGATTCTTCTGCCTCAGCCTCCCAAGAAGCTGGGACTACAGGCACATGCCATCACACCTGGCTAACTTTTTTTATTTTTAGTAGAGACAGGGTATCACCATGTTGGCCAGGCTGGTCTTGAACTCCTGACTTCAGGTGATCCACCCACCTTGGCCTCCCAAAGTGCTGGGGTTACAGGCATGAGACACTGTGCCTGTCCACCTCCTCTTTTACTTGGGAGAAATGCACAGATTCTGCGTGCCATGTGCGTTTGTTTTGGGAGTGATAATTGATCTAACTTATGGAAATAATACTAGATAGTTAGCGGATGGATTCTCTATCTGATGAGAGTTTTGGGCAAAACGAATTCCTAGTTTCTGAGTCTTATTTTTCCCCTGATTCAAGAAAACTGTGAATTATCCAGCCGGTGAAAAACTCTCACAGCTCTGGATGTGAGTTTAGGACACTGGATTTCTACCACTCACTTTCTTACTACTTTTCTTGTGCAAGGATCATGGCACAAGTTGCAGTTTCCACCCTGCCCATTGAAGATGAGGAGTCTGTTGAAGATGATGAGTCCTTGGAGAGCAGGATGGTGGTGACATTCCTGCCAGCTCTCGAGTCCACGGTCAGAACTTCTGTTCTCACATTCTGTAGATTGGTAGGACTGGGTGGTAGATAAGGTTGATTTGTTTTTGTAGAACGTACAATTTTGTGATTTTTAGTTCTAATGAGTAGATCTTTTTCGTGAATAATAGTCACGGTCAAACACCTCTAACCAAATGTGCGTGTGGAGTTTCTACACTGATTTTCGGACAATCTGGATCCCAACTGGGTATCCCACAATTCCATCCTGACACTCCCTGGAGTTAGTGCAGACCCCGCAGGATGGAGGCTCAGTCCCAGGAGTCTACCCTCACTCCACATGCCAATTGCAAGTCTTGGGTTGTTACATGTAGTTTTGACCAACAAGTTAGAAAATAGGGTTTCATGACCCCATTGGTGGGTGGAATCATTTGCTCGGACAGCTTGCAGAACTCAGAAAAACAGATTGTTTTCTTATTTTTTCTGAGATACAGGGTCTCAGTCTGTTGCCAGGCTGGAATGCAGTGGTGTGATCAAAGCTCACTGTAGCATGGGACTCCTGGGCTCAAGTGATCCTCCCACCTCAGCCTCCCAAATAGCTGAGATTATAGGCCCGCACCAGCATATCTGGCTGTGTTCTTTTACTTTTTGTAGAGATGTTATGTTGCCCAGGCTGGTCTCAAATTTCTGGGCTCACATGATACTCCCACCTCAACTTCACAAAATGCTGGGATTATGGACGTGGGCCACTTCATCTCACCAATTTACTTTCTTTTATTGGTTCATTTTAAAGGCTATATCTCAGAAACAGCCAGTGAAAGAGATGTACATGCTGGGCACAGTGGCTCATGCCTGTAATTTCAGCACTTTGGGAGACTGAAGTGGGAGCATCACTTAAGTGCTCAGGAGATTAAGACCAGCCTGGGTAACATGGTGAAAACGCATCTCTACAAAAAGATTTTTCTAAAAATTAGCCAGGTGCAGTTATCTATAGTTCTAGCTACTCAGTGCCTATAATTCTAGCTACTCAGGAGGCCGAGGTGAGAGGATGAGAGGATGGGGCTTGAGCTAGGGAGGCATAGGTCGCAGTGAGCCACGATTGTGCCATGGCACTCTAGGCTGGGAGACAGAGCCAGACACTGTCTCAAAAAAAAAAAAAAAAAAAAAAAAAGACACACACACAGGGCAAGGTATGTCGGGAGGGGTACAGAACTTCCGTGTCCTCTATTGTGCATGTTACTTTCCTGGTATCTCCCTTGTGTTCAGCAACCCAGACATTCTCCAACTCCCGTTGTTGAGGGCGCTTATGAAAGCTTCATTATGCAGGCATGATTGATGAAGTCATTGACCACTGGTGATTAAGTCAGTCTTCGGCCACTGTTTCTTCCTGGAGCCCAGTGGGTGAGGCTGACAGTTCCAATCCTCTAATCACATGGTTTGTTCTTCTGGCAACAACCAGCCCTTTTTCTGAAGCTGTCTAGGAGCTTTCAGTCACCCAGTCATCTCAATAACATCACCAAATGCATTCTTACTATGGTGATCCCAAAGGTCTTAGAGGCTCTTATGTTAGAAACCTGGTACTAAGACCAAATATTGAAACAGAAGATGCCCCATCACCTTCATCACCAAGGCCTTTATAAGAACTTGAGAAGCTCTTTGCCAGGATGAGGGGCAGAAACCAAATGTGTATTTCTTTTCCTTTTCTTTTGAACACAGATTCTCTGTTTCACCGAATCTGGAGTGCAATGATGGAGTTTTAGCTAACTGCAGCCTCAACCACCTGGGCTCAAGCAATTCCCCCGCCTCCGCCTTCCAAGCATCTGGGACTACAGGTGCACACCATCCATGCCCAGCTAATTTTTGTGTTTTTTTTTTTTTGTAGAGATGGGATCTTGTTATATTGCTGAGGCTGGTCTTGAACTCTGGGGCTAAAGCGATTCTTTCACCGCAGCCTCTCAAGTAGCTGAAACTACAGATGCATACCACCATGCCCAGCTAATTTTTTCTTATTTCTTTTTGTTGTTTAATTGAGGGGGTCTCACTGTGTTTCCCAGGCTGGTCCCGAACTTTTGGCCTCAAGCGTTTCTCCTGCTTTGACCTCCTAAATTGTTGGGATTGTGGTTGTGAGCCACGGCCTCTGTGTCCAGCAATCACAAGAGGTCTTTATAAGTGAAAGAGGGAGATAAGAGAGTCAGAATTGAAGGAGATTTGATGATGGAAGCACAGGTCACAGAGGGAGATTCGAATATGCTTTGCTTCTGACTTTGAAGATGCAGTTAGGGGCCATGAGCCAAAGAATACGGGTGGCTTTAGCAACTGGGAAAGGCAAGGGAAAACATTCGCTCCAGAACCTCCAGAAGGGATGCAGTCCTGCTGACACCTTGACTTTAGCCTTAATAGACCTATTTTGGACTTCTGGCCCCCAGACCTGTTAGGTAGTAGATTTGTGGTGTATTAAGCCACTCAATGTAGGGTAGTTTGTAACAGCAGCAAGAAGAAATGAACATGAAGCCAGGGGTGGTGGCCCACACCTATAATTCCAGCTATTTAGGAGGCTGAAGCAGGATGGTTGCTTTGGCCCAGGGGTTCAAGATAAGCCTGGGCAACAAAGTGATACCCTGTCTACATGGAAAAAAAATTAGTGGGTATGGTGGCATGCACTTGTAGTCTTAGCTACTAGAGGCCCTGAGGCAGGACGATTTCTTGACCTAGGAGTTCCAGGTCTCAGTGCGTTGTGATCGTGCCATGGCACCCCAGTCTTAGTGACACAGCGAGATTTTTATCTTAAAAAAAAAAGAAAAAAGAAATGAGTGAGCATGGCAGGAATAGGAACAGATAGCAATATTAAATAGAGTGGTCAGGGTTGGCCTCCTAAGTGAAAATTGAGCAAAGACTTGAAGGAGGGGAAGGAGCTGGCCAAGGTACTGAGGGAAGAGCATTGTAGACAGAAACAACATAATAAAGATGCGAAGAGGGAACTCCGTGGTGTGTCTGAAGCTCAGGAAAGAGGCCTGTGGAGCAGAGAGAGGGAGAGAAGTAGGGAAGAAGGCCAGGGAGTTGTTGGGCTCAGATCAGTACAGATTGTGTAAGCCCTGGGAGGCTATTGCTGGGGCTTTGGCTTTTATTCTGTCTGAGATGGGAGATGCGGAAGGGTTCTGAGCAGAGAGGTGACACAAATTGTCTACTGATTTAAAAGCATCCCATGGTGGCTGAGTTGAGAAAGATTGTGGGAAGATTTGGGTAGAAGCAGGGAGGCCATGCTGTGGCAACCTCCAGGTGGGAGATGATAGTGGTTCTGACCAGGGTCCTGGCAATGGTGAGAGATGGTTGATTCTTGTTGAAATAGTAAGTAATTAAAAAAAAAACCCTATGGCTTTTCCCAATTATAGGAAGTATGGGATGCTAGATTAAAGAAATTTTAAGTCGGGCCAGGTGCAGTGGCTTATGCCTGTAGCATCAGCACTTTGGGAGGCAGCAATGGGAGAATTATTTGAGTCGAGGAGTTTGAGACCACCCTGTGCAGCAGAGCAAGACCTCCTCTCTATGCAAATAAAAATTAATAAAATATAATTATCCAAGCATAGTGGTATTTTTCTGTACAACCAGTTACTCAGGTTGTTGAGGTGGGCAGATCTCTTGAGGGTGGGAGTTTGAGGCCAGGTTGGGCAACATAGCAAGGCTCCTCTTTCTACAAATAAATAAATAAATAAATAAAAATTAGCTGGGTGTTTTGGTGGTCATCTGTAGTCATAGCTATGGTGAGGCTGAGGCAGGAGGATCCCCGGAGCCCAGGAGGTCAAGGCTGCAGTTAGCTGTGAGTGCACCACTGCATTGCAGCCAGAGTGACAGAGTGAGACCCTGTCTCAGAATACAGATACAAGTAAAGAAATCTCAACTCAGAGCAGTCTGTTTGTGACTATGCAGCCTTTGCAACCCCATAGCTGCGCGATTGAGTTTGTGTTGCTGGAGGTGAGGAGACCCGTGCCCAGGTGTTGTTGCCTGTCTAATCAGTTTATTTTAAAATATATTAATGAAATTTATTTCATCATACTTTATGGCTTCATACCTGAGTGGTTTTTTGAATCCTCCTTTGAATAGCTTGTAACTATTCAAACCTCTTATTGGTTCTATAATTAATTCTTTTTCTAATTAGCTTTTTAAAAATCAGAATTGATATTAGACTACCTAATCAGTTATTAATGAGGAGATGAAATTGAGTTGTTTGTACACTTTATCTAAGATAGTGTCATATTGGCTAACTCAAATCAATAGTTGAGCAAATGCAGAATTAGAGCTTCTTCAGCATGGAACTCTCTTGTGGTTGTTGAAGATGCCATTTCTTTTTTTTTTTTTTTTTTTGAGATGGCATCTTCCTCTGTCACCAGGCTGGAGTGCAGTGGCACAATCTCAATTCACAGCAACTTCTGCCTCCTGGGTTCAAGCATTTCTCTTGCCTCAGCCTCTGAAGTAGCTGGGACTACAGGCACATGCCACCATGCCCGGCTAAGTTTTGTATTTTTGGTAGATATGGGGTTTCAGCATGTTGGCCAGGCTGGTCTTGAACTCCTGACCTTGCAATCCACCGGCCCTGGACTCCTGCAGTGCTGGGATTACAGGCATGAGCCACCGCACCCGGCCTCTTTTTTCAGTCTTTAATAAACTGCTGCCATCATTTCAGACCACTTGCTATTTTAGGCACTTAGAAATTTTTCACTGGAATTCATGTAAAGAAAGACCATGGGCGTTTGTACTGGATTTAGTATTCATCATTCGACTGCATGACTCACCCCTAGTGCCATAATTTTACTAATAAATTTTTCAGATACTAGTCAACTGGCCACTGAACCTAACCAGCAACCCACCCTCAACCATTCAGTGGTCTTTTGTTCTCTGTTCCTCCTGAACATTGATTACTCTCAGAAGGTGATAAAAACTTGGATTTCTTTTTTTTTTTCTTCCTAGAAACAGGGTCTTGTTCTGTCACCCAGGCTGCAGTGCGGTGGCATGATCATGGTTCACTGCAGCCCGAAACCCCGGACTCCAACTGTCCTCCCACCTCAGCCTCCCAAGTAGCTGGGACTACATACATTTGCCCCTATTCCCAGCTAACTTCTTTATTTTTTATTGTACAGATGGGATCTTGCTGCGTTGCCCACGATGGTGTCAGACTCCTGGCCTCAAGTGATCATTCTGCCTCACCTTCCCAAAGTGCTTGGATTATACATAGGTGGGAGCCACCTGTGTTCAATGCCCATTTTCTTTTTCTTTCTTTTTGAGACGGACTCTCACTCTGTCACGCAGGCTGGAGTGCAGTGGCGTGATCTCGGCTGCCTGCAACCTCCACCTCCCTGGTTCAAACAATTCCCCTGCCTCAGCCTCCCAACTAGCTGGCATTACAGGCACATGTCACCACTGTCAGCTAATATTTTTGTACTTTTAGTAGAGACAGGGTTTCAGTATGTTGGCCAGACTGGCCTCGAACTCCTGAAATCAGGCAATCCACCCGCCTTGGCCTCCCAATGTGCTGAGATTACAGGCGTGAGTCACCACGCCACACCCAGCCCTTTTTAAAATAATAATGTTATTGAAATATGATTAACATATCATGCAATTCATTTATCAAAGTATGCAATTCTGGCCGGGTGCAGTGGCTAAGTCCTATAATGCTAAGACTTTGGGTGGCTGAGGCAGGTGGATCGCTTGAGTTCGGGAGTTTGCGACTAGCCTGGGCAACATGACAAAGCAGCATCTCTAGCAAAAATACAAAAATTAGCTGGGTGTGGTGGCTCATGCCTGTAGTCCCAACTACTTAGGGACATGAGACTGGAAGATCACTTGAGCCTAGAAGGCATAGGTTGCAGTGAGACCAGATGGCACCACTGCACTACAGCATGGACGACAGAAGGAGACCCTGTCTGTAAATAACTAAAGAAAAAAAGAAAGTATACAATTGAGTGGTTTTTAGAATATTCAAGGAGCTGTGCATCCATCACCACAGTCTCTCTTAGAAGTGATTACCCACTTATGAGTTACCCACCTGTGAGTGAGAAACCCTCACCTCTTAGCCGCTACCTCCTAATTCCCCCATGTTCATAGGCAACCACTGATTTATTTTCTGTCCTTGTAGTTTTGCCTAATCTGGACCTTTTATAGAAATAGAATTGTACAATGTGTGATCTTTTGTAGTTTGCTTTTTTTTTTCTCTTAGCACAATGTTTTCAAATTTCTTTCATGTTATAGTGTGTATCAGTATTTCTTTCCTTTTATAGCTGAGTAATAGTTTATGTTTATCCATTCATTAGTTGATGGACATTTGTGTTGTTTTTGTGTATTCACCATCATGAGTCAGGCTGCTATGAACACTCGTATGTAAGTTTTAGTTTGAACATATATTTTTATTTCTCTTGGATTTACACTCAGGAGTGAAATTGTTGCATTATGTGATTACTATACATTTAGTCTTTGAGAAACTGCCACGTTGATTTTCAAAGTGGTTACACTGGTCAGGCGCAGTGGCTCACACCTTTAATCTCAGGTATTTGAGATGCTGAGTTTGGAGGATTTTCTTAGCCCGGGAATTCAGGACAAGCCTGGGCAATATAGGGAAACAATATCTTGATTTTTTAAAAAAATCAAATGCCAATAAAACACCCAAATTGATTACACCATTTTATATTCCCACCAGTAATGTATGTGAGTTCCAATTATTCCACATTGTCACCAACTTTTTTTTTTTTTTTGAGACAAAATCTTGCTCTGTTGCCCAGGCTGATGTGCAGTGGCATGAACATGGCCAGTGCAGCTGTGACCTTCCAGGCACAAGTGACCCTCTCACCTCAGCCTCCTAAGTAGCTGGGACTTACAGTTGCATGCTATCATGTGCAGCTGATTTTTACAGTTTTTGGTAGAAATGTGGTGTTGTCATGTAGCCCAGGTTTGTGTCAAACTCCTGAGCTCAAGTGATCTGCCTGCTTCACCTTCCGGAAGTGCTGAGATTACAGGTGTGTGCCACCATGCCCGACTGATGTAACCATTTGGAAAGCAGCCACTGAGCCCAGCCTTCACCAGTATACCAATATTTGTTAATATCGTTTTATTTTTTACAATTTTCCCATTTTTAAAAACTTATTCTTTTACCTGTATTATTGATTATAATAAACAACAAATAATTTTGTAGTAGAGTCCCCCCAAAAAGTATTTATTGTTTAATTGAAGTAGTTTTTTTTTTTAACCTGGATATATATTTTTTCATTTTCACTTTATTTTTAGTGTTTATTTTTAAAAATTATTTACATATATTTTTATTTTAATAGGTGTTTGAGAAACAGGTGGTGTTTGGTTCCATGAATAAGTTCTTCAGTGTTGATTTCTGAAATGTAGTACCCCTCATTACTCATTAAATTATATATTAAGTCATTATAAAATCATTAATAAACCAAAGACTTTAATAAAATGGGAATTTTATTTTAACTTGCAACCTGGGACGTAAATGTCAAAAAAATTAGAAAAATTACCACATTAAGGTTTTAAAATCTTGAACTGAAAAATGAAAGCCTTGGTGCACCTAAGAACCACCAACCCACTGGTCAAGGTGAACAAAACTAAATGAAAAAATAAAACCAAGAAAACCAAACTCAGGATTATTAGGTATTCTGTAATGCTATTTTATCTTGGGACTCACAGAAAATAGTCATTATTATTATTATTATTATTATTATTATTATTATTATTTTGATACGGAGTCTCACTCTGTCACCCAGGCTGGAGTGCAGTGGTGCAATCTCGGCTCACTGCAACCTCTGCCTCCTGGGTTCAAGTGATTCTCCTGCCTCAGCCTTCAGAGTAGTTGGCATTACAGGCAGGTTCCACCATGCCTGGCTAACTTGTATTTTTGGTAGAGACAGGGTTTCACCATCTTGACCAGGCTGTTCTGAAACTCCTGATCTCAAGCAATCTGCCTACCTCAGCCTCCCAAAGTGCTGGAATTACAGGCATGAGCCACTGTGCTCAGCTGAAAATAGTTAATTTTATGTATATTCCAAGTCAGAATACATTCTATTTTTGAATATTTGATGACTTTAGGATACTATATTAACTCTTAATTGAATTAATACAAGTTTAGGTGTAAAGATGATGTTTATGTTGACAAAAATTATTAATGTTTTACATATATGAAATTAATAATATATTTTTTGTATTTGTAGAATACTTTGAAATCTATTATTAGCTAATATTTTATATTCATTTTGAGTTTTCACATTATTGTTAGATCCAGAGAAAAGTAATATTTTGTGAATACTCAAATCATAAACATTTTGCTGGATGCATTCATAGATATTTTATTTAAAATGTACACTAATTGAAGTTTTATACCATTTTATGATTCATCAAACACAGCAACTGAATACTGGCGTATAGCAACATTACAGATGTTAGTCTAACATAAAACTCATAACACATTTTAAAAAGGGTAAAAGGAAGGAAAGGAAAAGGGATACGAGGCTGTAGAAAGATTTTAAAAACAAACGTCATATGTCTGAACCTTTACCTGGAGTTTCATATTTTGTGAAAAGCAGTTTGTAAGTAGAGGACTCGTAAGTGCACCTAGTACACTGCAATGGCACAGACACGGCAGATAGTCAATAAAATGATCTTTAACTTCTGATCTAGGTTATTTTTGTTGTTCATGTATTAACCTAGTGAAACTCAGCCAATAGATGGAGTGGCATTGACCTGTAAAACTTCCAAGATCCCATCCAACCTTAGTGTCCTCTGAAGTTCTCCATAATTTATTGTCCGTTCCAACCAACATTTAGCATAAGCTACAGCTTATATTGTTAATAATCCTTCTATGTTTATGTGCTGATTTGCAAATAAATGGGCCTATATAGTCTTTATCTAGTGTTGTATTGGGATCAAAAGTTTTATGAAATCATTGTTTTTAGTATACATACAGATGGATAATTGTATAAATAAGTACAGATGTGTATAAATGTGTGAGTATACATACATATATTTTCCAACTCCTCTAACAAAAGGGCCTAGAAACAACATCATCCCAGTAACAATGAGAACACCATTCTCCAATTAAAGGAACCAAGGCTCCTTGGGGACATATTTGATATCAGGATTGGGCAGGGAAAATACAAGATTAGTTTGAAATATTTTGTCATGTTAGAAAGTAAGGAAATGCTCACAAAATGGAGAAAATGTGAAAAGGAAACAGAATCCACTTTGAATAATCTTCCGTAGCCAAATTTGAGAAAATTGGGGCACTAAAATAAATAACAATAGTAATATATTACAATCTACAGAAGAAAATTTTCAATTAATCCAGGCTGGGTGCGGTGGCTCATGCCTGTATTCCCAGCCCTTTGGGAGGCCGAGGCGGGCAGATCACTTGAGGTCAGGAGTTCGAGACCAGCCTGACCAATGTGGTGAATCCCTGCCTCTACTAAAAATACAAAAATTAGCTGGGCATGGTGGCACATGCCTGTAGTCCCAGCTACTCAGGAGGCTGAGGCAGGAGAATGGCTTGAATCCCGGAAGGTGGAAGTGCAGTGAGTGGAAATCCCACCAATGCATTCCAGCCTGGATGACAAAGCAAGACTCCATCTCAAAAAAAAAATTAATCCATATTGACATAAATAATAAACCAAAGGTTGAGAATGGGCAGTATTTTATTACAGTAAGATTTCATTAAATGTAGGAGACATAAAATATAAGAATCATCACTTTGCAAATATCTTAGTAATAATTGTTGCAAGAAAGAACCTTGGAGGGATGCTAAGATTAGTGGTGAATATATGTTGGGAAAGAACATATTTGCATAATATGAAAGTATCTTCCCACAAGATAATTATAGAATAGTAACTTCAAAATGGAGATGTCAACTTAGCCAAGTGATCAAAGTTAACATTACTAATAATAAGATAAATGAACTTCATGTAACTTCTTATATGATGCACTGAATAGGACAAAACATCAATTCTATGGTATTCTTAGACAAAATGTATAACTTTAGTCCTAATCGTGAGAAAACATCAGACTAACTGAAATTGAGGAGGGACATTCTACAAAATAACTGCCAGTATTCTTCAAAAGCATTTTAGAAAGACTGAGGAATTCTCCAGACACATGGAGACATGTCAACTAAGTGCAATGGAGAACATGCATTGTATCATGAACCAGAGATGGACAACAGTAGGATATATACAATAACACCCCAACATTTGAACATTAAACAAAATACTTCAGAAAAACCCATTGGCCAAGAAAAGTTTCACACACACAAAAAAATAGTTTAAACTGAAAGAAAAATTTTTAAAAACTTAATAAAATGTGGGATGCAGATAAATCATTTCTTAAAGGTACATTTATAGATATAATATATTGAAAATAAAAGGCTTCAATCAATGACCTTTAGGTTCTTTTTTAAGAGGCTAAAAAAATCAGCAAAGTATATTCGAATTAAGAAGAAGGAAGATGATAAAGATAAAAATGTAAACCAACAACATAGCAAATAACAAAAGGTGGAGCTAATTAATATACCCACAAATTGGTTGTTTGAAAAAATTTTTTTTAATAAACAATGGCTAGCAAGATTTATCTCAAAAAAAATTAGAGAAGCTACATAATGTAGATAATGATAATTAAATAGAGGATGTAACTACAGAACCTACAGACATCAATATAATTATGAAAACTTTAGGCCAATACATTTGACAAATAAAATAACATGGGAAATTATTTGTAAAACTAATTCTTAAAACTGATGCAAAATGAAATAGAAAAAGTAATAGCTTCTCTATGTATTGAAGAATTTTTTTAATTTAAAAAGATTTCTATAATTACAGGCTGCATGGTTTCTTAGGTGAATTCTATCAAATATTTAAGAAAGTACAGAGAGTCCTCAACTTATGGTGGTTTGACTTGTGCTCTTCTGACTTGACAATGGTGCTTTCATCTGTGTACATTAATGATGAGCATCAACGTGACCAGTTTTTCACTATCAGTATAGTTTTCAATAAATTTCATGAGATACTCAATATTTTAAAATAGGTCTTATGGTAGATGATTTTGACCAATTGTAGGCTAATGTAAGTGTTCTGAGCAAGTTTAAGGTAGGCGAGGCTAAGTCATGATATTCAGTAGGTTAAATATATTAAATGTGTTTTAGACTTACAATATTTTCAATTTAGGATGAGTTCATGAAGACATAAGCCCATTGTAAGTTGAGGAGTATCTATAATATCAATCTTGAACAGACCCTTTTTAAGAAATAGAACTTAAGGGCTGGGCACAGTGGCTCACACCTGTAATCCCAGCACTTTGGGAGGCCAAGACGGGCAGATCACCTGGGGTCAGGAGTTTGAGACCAACCTGACCAGCATGGAGAAACCCCCGTCTCTACTAAAAGTACAAAATTAGCAGGGCATGGTGGCGCTTGCCTGTAATCCCAGCTCCTCGGGAGCCAGAGGCAGGAGAATAGCTTGAATCTGGGAGGTAGAGGTTGCGGAGAGCCGAAATTGTGCCATTGCACTCCAGCCTGGGCAACAAGAGTGAATCTCCATCTCAAAAAAAAAAAAAAAAAAAAGAATTTAAAGGGACACTTCCTATCTTATTTTATTAACCCAGTATTGCCCTGATTCCAAATCGAGACAAAGGCATTATACAACTTTGATGTTTATCCCTCATAAACATAGACTCAAAAGTCCTTAAAACATAATAACCAATTGAATGTAGCAGTACATAGAATGGATAATAAACTGAACAAATTAAGTTTCTAGCAAGATTGCAAGGTTAATTTATTATTTGAAAGATCAGTTTAATCAATTTTATTCACCTGGATGGTTACATCTGGCAAAACTCAGCAAACTGTGCACTTTAAAATAGGAGTATTTATTTTATGTAAATTATGTTTCAATACAATTGATTTTTTAAAAAAACGTTTCCCAGAGTGATCAAAGTGGAGGGCAGGGAACAGTAAACATCAGTGCTTATGTTATAGCTACTAGAAGCCTCCCAATTCCAAGGACATGCTTTCAAGCAGATCTGATCCTTCCCTGGAGGATACCTCTGACCCAGGTGTGCTACAAATGCATTGCCCCTAGTTGCTTCTGTCCCCTTAGTGATGGAAGTGACAAGAGGGTACTGGAGAAAGAAAAGGTGTACAGGGTTCCAAATGTACTTTCTCTTTCCAAAGGACATTTGTGAAGCCAGTGGAAAGCGAACAAACAAGCTGCTAAATAAGTCACAATTGTGTTCTCGTACAGTTTTGCGATTAACTAAATAGGACATTCAACAGATAAAATTTGTTTTACATAGTTCCTCCTCTAATAGGATGAACTTGTGGATTGTGAGATAGGGCTGATATAACCTGTTTTCTCTCTGCCTCTTTTTTTTTTCCCCAAGTTTTGTTTGCAATACATTAGGAAAAATATAATTGGGCTATAAAGCTACAAAAATGGCTTCCTGGCAGTTCCATGCTTGTTTCCATGTGGTGCCTATGTTTGGCACTGTGTTCTCATTTGCACTTTCCTACTTGATTAGTTAATGTATGAAGGACAAGCCTGATCTCTACTGTGAATTTCTACCGAGGTGTTTTAGTAGAAAAATGAGTATGTTATGGTGCTGTGGAATGCTAAAGTGTGTAAAACATTAAGAATCTAAAAATATGCTCATTTCCAAGTTTTGTCCCAGAGCAACTGTGCACTCTGATTATATCGCTACTGCTATTTAAAGTTATCCATTTGCATGTCTAAAAAATAGATTCATACTGATTGTCCCATTTTGATCTCAAAAAACTCCTGAATATGAGAGTCGTGATCAAGGGACGCTTCATGAAATATTCCAAAGTTAAAGTGTGCAATGAAACCAGATTTATCATAGCCTTATTTAAAATAATTATTTCTAAAATTGTTATTGTTTAATTATAAACTGCATCCTTTCAGGATACTTGGAAGATCCATAACAGTGTTTTTATTTTCACAGAACAAGCATAAATTATTTATGAAATAATAACTCAGATACAGAGATTACTTCCTATTGGCCTTACATATGCATATAAATAAATAAATGTTATGAACATGAGCATACTTATTTTATAATTATGTAAATGTGTGTGTAATGTTATATATAAGTTCAATAAAGTCAGCTTATACATGGTTTCAATTCATGCTTCTAAAAACCACTCAATGTAGTCATTATCATATGTTAATAAATAATCTCTGAAAATGTGCTTCTAGTAGTTGCACAATATCCCATCATAAAGATTGTCATGCTGTTTTTAAGTCATACTTTTGGGTATATAAGTTATATCTGATATTTTTCTACTACATAGATACTATTATAAATCTATTAGTAGTTGATTTTTTGTCAACACATATGATTGTTTCCTCACAATAGTACAAGAGTTGGTTGTAACTATTTCCTTCCAACATTTATTTTAGGTTCAGCGGGTACATGTGCAGGTTTATTATATGGGTAAAATGTGTGTCAATGGGATTCGGTATACAGATTACGTAGTCATCCAGGTAGTGAGCGTAGTATCTAATAGGGAGTTTTTTGATCCTCACTCTCCCCCCGACCCTCCACCCACAGTAGACCTTGTGTCTATTGTTCCCTTCTTTGTGTCCATGTGGACTCAATGTTTAACCCCCACTTATAAGTGAGAACATGCAGTGTTTGTTTGGTTTTCTGTTCCTGCATTAATTCACTTAGAATAATGGTATCCAGCTCCATTCATGTTGCTGCAAAAGACATTATTTCATCCTATTTTATAGGTGTGTAGTATTCCATGGTGTATGTACGCTGCATTTTTTAATCCAGTCTTCTGTTAACAGGCATCTAAGTTGATTCTGTGTCTTTGCTATTGTGAATAGTGTTATAATGAAAATATGCGTGCATATGTCTATGACAGAATGATTTATATTCCTCTGGGTATATACCCAGTAATGGGATTGCTGGGTTGAATGGTAGTTCTGTTTTAAGTTATTTCAGAAATCTCCAAACTGCTTTCCACAGTGGCTGAACAAATTTACATTCCTGATGAAACTGGAGAGTTCCCTGACTCCCCTTGGCAGGATGTGCAACAGGGGTGTGGTTTGTCTGGCCATGGTGTGTGCTGTCAAACACCTTACTGGGCAGGGGAGCATGCAGACAGGCAGGTGCAATAGGCAGGGCAAGTGGCCATGGTACTGTCTAGGGGTGGGTGCCTGTGACTCCCACAGCCCAAGTGGGCGTGTGTTACAGTGCACTCTTTTAGCTTTGCCATCCACAGACGGCTTAAGTGTTAACCCGTTCAGTGCCCTCTTGGTACCCAGTTCCTTGTCCAGCATCCAGAAAGAATTAAGTTGCACACAGACTTAAGGATGGTGAATGTGGCGGTTTTATTGAGTGGTGGAGGTGGCACTCAATGGGATGGATGGGGAGCTGGAAAGGGGATGGAATGGGAAGATGATCTTCCCCGGGAGCTTTGCCATCCAGAGGCTGATCTCTCCAACCACTGCCAGCCAAACTCCTCTTGGCATTCAGATGCTCCTTCTCTTCTTTCTGCCACATCATTCTGCAATTCTGCTCTTCTGTTTATCTCTTCATCTGCTTGTCTGCTTCTGGAGCCTGGGGTCTGGGGCATATATGGGTACAGGACAGGGGGTGCATGGTGAACTGAAAGACAACTTTTGGGTGCAAAAGCAGGAATGCCTGTTCCCATTTAGGGCCATGGGTTTCCAGGCTTGTGGGCAGGGCTTTGCCAGGGAACCACTCTCTTCTACCCAGTATTTCCCTGTCTCTTTTCTATATCACCACCAGCAGTGTATAAGCATTCCCTTTTTTCCACAAACTCAGCACTGTCTGTTATGTTTTGATTTTTTAATAATAGCCATTCTGACCAGTGTGATATGGTATCTCATGGTTCTGATTTTCTGATGATTAGTGATGTTGAGTATTTTTTCATATGGTTGTTTGCCACACATACATTGTCTTTTGAAAAAAGAATCCACAGACAGCTTAAGTGTTAACCCATTCAGTGCCCTCTTGGTACCCAAGTCCTTGTCCAGCATCCAGAAAGAAGTTGCACATGGACTTGAGGATGGTGAATGTGGGGGTTCATGTTCTTTGCCTATTTGTAGTGGGTTTGTTTTTTGCTTATTGATTCTTTATACATGCTGAGTATTAGACATTTTTCAGATATGTAATTTGAAAATATTTTCTTCTGTTCTGTAGGGTGTTCTCTGTTGATAGTTTCTTTTGCTGTGCTGAAGCTCTTTAGTTTCATGAGGTCCCACTCGTCAATTCTTCTTGTTGCAATTGCTTTTGGAGTCTTCATCGTGAAATCTTTGCCAGCGTCTATGTCCAGAATTATATTTCCTAAGTTTTCTTCTAGGGTTTATATAGTTTTGGGTCTTACATAAGTCCTTCATCCATCTTGAGTTGATTTTTGTATATGGTGAAAGGAAGGGAGTGTACCTGCCACTGTGATATTGTTCCTAATATCCAGGTTGGGAGAGGATATTATACTCAATATTGCAGGAGGTGTCGACCACCCTGAATATTGCTTTTAATATCTGGGGAGAGAGGGTGATATTACTCCCAATATCATCCTCTCCCCCCACACCCTGCATAGTACAAACAATATCAAAGGGGGTCTGTGCAACACGTGCAATATTGGGAGTAATATCCTCCCCCAACATGGATATTAGAAACAGTATCACAAGGGGTTGTACACCACCTGCGATATTGGGGAGTACTATCATTTTCTTTCCCCATGTATATTTAGAACAATATCACAAAGGCGGTGTACAACCCCTGCTATATTGGGAGTAATACTGTACTTTCCCCACCTAGATATTAGGAACAATATCACGGGGGGGTTATACACCACTGCAACATTGGGAGTAATATCATCCTTTCCCTCCCTGGATATTAGGAACAATACCTCATGGGTGTGTACACCCTGTTCCATATTGGGATTAATATTTTCTCCCTTGCTGGACATAAGGAACAATATAACGGGGGGTATACACTCCTTATGATATTGCCAGTGATATTATAGACTCCCCCCAGGGATATTAGAAACAGTATCAGAGAGGGGTGTACATCCCCTGTGATATTGGGAATAATATTCTTTCTTTCCCTGGATATTAGGAATAATATCACAAAGGGGTTGTATACCCCCATGACATTTTAATTAATATCATCTTCCCCACCGAATATTAGGAACAAATTCCCAGGGGATTGTACACCACCTGCAATACGGACAGCTATATCATTGTCTCTCCCCCGAATATTAGGAACAATATCACAAGGGAGTTGTACATCCCCTGTGATATTGGGAGTAACTTTATACCCTTTCCACATGGGTATTAGGAACAATATCACAGGGTGGGTGTACACTCACTGCGATATTGGGAGTAATATCATCCTCTACCCCCTGGGTATTACGAACAATATCACGGGGAGGGGTGTATGCCCTCTGCGATATTGGGAATAATATCATCCACTCCCCTGTGGATATTGGGAATGATATCACAGCGGGGCTGTACCTTTTCTGCACTATTGGGAGTGGTATCACCCTCTCCCCCTATGGATATTAGGAACAATACCACAAAGGGTGTGTACACATCCTGCGATATTGGGAGTAATATTGTTCACTCTTCCCTGGGATATTAGGAACAATATCACAGGCGGAGTGTACACCCCCTGCGATTTTATCTGTAATATTATTCTCTCCCAAACTGGATATTAGGAATAATATAACAGGAGGGGTGTACACCACCTGTGATATTGGGAGTAATATCATTCTCTCCCCCCATGGATATTGAGAACAATATCACAGGGGCAGTTTACACCTCCTGCGACATTTAGAGTAATATCATCCTTTTCCCCCATGGATATTAGGAACAATATCGCATGGGAAGTGTACACCCCCGCCATATTGGGAGTAATATTTTCTCCCTTGCTGGACATTAGGAACAATATCACTGGAATGCACACACCCTGCGATATTGCCAGTAATATCGTAGTCTCCTCCCAGGATATTAGGAACAATATCACAAGGGGAGTGTACATACCCTGTGATATTGGAAGTAATATCATCGACTCCCCCCACGGATATTAGTAACAATATCAGAAGGGGTGTACACCCTTTGCAATATTTATAGTACTATCATCCTATCCCCCCTGGATATTAGGAACAATACCACGGGGAGCTGTATACCCACTGTGATATTGGGAGTAATTTCATCCTCTACCCCTTGGATGTTAGGAGCAGTATCACAAGGGGGGTGTGCACTCTCTGTGATATTAAAAATAATACCATTCTCTCCTCCTCTGGATACTAGGAATAATATCACAGGGCTGGTGTGCACCCTTTGCACTATTGGGAGTAATATCACCCTCTCCCCAACTTAATATTAGAAACAATATCATGGGGGGTGGCGTGTAACACCCTGTACTGTTGGGAGTATTATCATCTAGTCTTCCCCTGGATATAAGAAACAGTATCACAGAAGGGGTCTACAACTCCTGAGATTTTGGGAGTAATATCATCCTCTCCAAATCTGGTTATTAAGAACAGTATAATGGGGTGTGGGGAGTAATATGTTGGGAGTAATACAATCCTCCCCCCAACTTGATATTAGGAACAATATCGCAAAACGTGTGTACACCCACTGCGATATTTGGAGTAATATCAACATTTCCCCACCTGGTATCACGGGGAGAGTGTACACTCCTTACGATATTGGAAGTATCATTGTCTCTCACTCTCGATATTAGGAAAAATAGCACAGGGTGTGTGTACACTCCCTGTGATTTTGGGAAGAACATCATACCCTTCCGTCTTTGATATTAGGAACAATATCACAGAGGGGGTGTACAACTTCTGCGATATTGTAATATTCTTTCTTCCCATGGATATTAGAAATGATATCCTGGGGGGCATGTTGTACACCCCCTGTGATATGGACAGTAATATCATTGTCCTTCCCCCTACATATTAGGAACAATATCACAAGGGGGGTGTACACCCCCTGGATATTAGAAACTATCACAGGGGGGCTGTACAACCTCTTTGATACTGTGAGTAATACCATTGTCTCCCCTCCTGGATATTAAGAACAATATCATAGGGTGGGTGTACACCCCCTGCAATATTGGGAATAATATCATCCTCTCTTCCCCGGGATATTAGGAACAGTATAACAGGTGGGGTTTACACCCCCTGCAATTTTGTCAGTAATATTACTTCTGGATGTTATTGAATATATCACAGTGGGGGTGTACACCCCGTGATATGGGGAGTAATAGCATCCTCTTTCCCACTGGATACTACAAACAATATTGCAGGTTGTGTACAACTTCCTGCGATATTGTTCACAATATTTAGGGGAGGAGAGGATGATATTACTCCACATATCGCAGGGAGTGTTACATCCCCTGTAATATTGTTCATAATATTTAGAAGAGGACAGGATGATATTACTCCCAATATAGTAGTAAGTATACACTCCCCTGTGATACTGTTCATAATTTTTAGGGGATTAGAGGATGATATTACTTCCAATATCACAGGGAGTGTACACTGGTGATATTGTTTATAATTTTCAGTGGATTAGAAGATATTTTTCCCAATATCACAGGGGTTGTACATCCCCGTGTGATATTGTTAATATCCAGTGGGAAAGAGGATGATATTACTCCCCATATCACGGGGGATGTAAACCCGTTTGTGGTATTGTCACTTACATCCGGGGGGGGTGAGGATGATATTACTCCGCATATCATAGAGGGTGTACACACGGCTGTAGTGTTGTCCATAACATCCAGAGGGGAAGAGAATATTATTCCCATGTTTCAGAAGGTGTACACACCCCTGTGATAGTCTCTGTAACATTTAGGGAAGAAGGGGATGATACTACTCCAGATATCGCAGGGGGTGTACACCCCCCTCTGATACTGTTCGTAACGTTTAGGGGGAGGAGGATGATATTACTTCGCATATCGAAGGGATTGTACATCTCCCTATATATTGTCCATAACATCCAGGGCAGGAGAGGATATTACTACTCCCCATATGACAGGGGGTGGACACCCCCCTGTAAATATGTCTAACATCCAGGCGGGGACAGGAGGATATTATTCCCCATATCGCAGAGAAAGTAAACCCCCTGTGATATTGTCCATAACATCCAGTGGGGAGAGGATGATGTCACTCCCCATATTGCAGGGGTGCACTCTCCACTCTGATATTGGCCATAATATCCGGGGGGAGGTGAAGTATGAAGTCACTACACATATCACAGGGATTATTAGTATCAGATTGTTTGAAGGGCTCACAGTAAGGGTAGTAGTAGGGCGAGTTCTAACTCAAATAGGGGAAATGTGATGACTACTAGAAAGAATTTTATGGAGAAGGGAATGTGGGCAGAGGATAGAGGGTCAAATCTGCATTCATAAGGGCTAGACTTTTCTATATATGTTTATTTTATACATATATATATTTTTCTCTGTCTCTCTCTCTCTATATATATGAAGTTGGAGCCAAAATGTAATAATTATTAGTAACAGGTCTAATAGGGTGTTGATTACTAGGGTTAATGTTAGGCGAATTACTGTTTTTCGGATGCTATCGAAACTTTGGAAATCATGGTACTATTTATACTAAAAGAGTAAGATCCTCATCAATAAATAGAAACATACAAGAATAGTCATACTACATCTACAAAGTGTCGATATCAGGCAGCGGCTTCAAAGGCAAAGTGATGACTAGATGTAAAGTGGTATTTTAATTGGCGGAGAAGGCAGACTGAGGAATGTTGATCCAATAATGACGTGAAGTCTGTGAAAGCCTGTAGCTATAAAAAATATTGAGCCATAAATACCATCAGAAATAGCAAAGGGAGCTTTGAAGTATTCTGAGACTTGTAGGAGGGTGAAGTAAATACCTAATATAATTGTAATAAGTAGTGCTTGGATTGTATGTTTTTGATTATTTTTTGTTAGGCTGTGATGGGCTCAAGTAATTGAAACTCCTGATGCAAGTAATACAGATGGATTCAGGAGAGGTACTTCCAGGTGGTCAAGGGGAGAAATACCTGTTGGGGGTCAATGTCCTCCTAATTCTGGAGTAGGGACTAGGCTAGAATGGTAGAATGCTCAAAAGAATCCAGCGAAGAGAAATATTTCTGAGATAATAAATAGGACTATCCCATATTGGAGGCCTTTTTGAACAGTTGTTGTATGGTGGCCCTGAAATGTACTTTCTCAGATACAGATCACCCTTGATCAATTGAATACAGATCAATCACTTTAAGTAAGCTAAGTCCTTACAAATTGATGAGACTTAAACCCACGAAAACTCAACAGCTGAACTCCCTAGTCAACTGGTTTGAATCTATTTCTCCAGCCGCTGGGGGAATAAAGGTGAGAGAAGCAGGATTGAAGCTGCTTCTTTGAATTTACAATTCAACATGAAAATCACCTCGGGACTGGTAAAAACAGGCCTTGACCTCTGTTTTTAGATGTACAGTCTAATGCCCTACTCAGTCATTTTACCCTTTTTTCTCACTTAATTTATGTTGGCTGACAGTTGACTATTCTCAACCAACCATAAAGATATCGGGACATTATATTTATTATTTGGCACATGAGCAGGGATAGTCAGAACAGCTTTAAGCCTTATTCGAGCTGAATTCTACTAGATGATCAAATTTGTCTTGTTATAGCCTATGCATTTGTCATAATTTTCTTTATAGTAATACTATAATTGTAGGTCTTGGCAACTGATTAGTCCCCCTGATAATTGGCGCCCCCGATATAGCATTTCTCTGCATAAATAATATGAGCTTCTGACTCCTCCCACCCTCCTTCCTATTATAACTTGCATCCACTATAGTAGAAGCCGGCACTGGAACCGGCTGAACAGTCTCTCCTCCCTTAGCAGGAAACCTAACACATGCAGGCGCCTCTGTAGATTTCACTGTCTTTTCACTCCACTTGGCAGGTGTTTCTTCTACTTCAGAGGCTATTAACTTTATTATCACAATTGTTAATATAAAACCCCCAGCCATGTCCCAATATCACACACCCCTCTTCATCTGATTAGTCCTAATTACAGCAGTTCTTCTACTCCTTTGTCTACGAGTCCTAGCCTCCGGCATCACTATATTGTTGACTGACTACAATCTGAATACTACTTTTTTCTACCTGGCTGGTGGAGGTGATCCTATCTTATGTCAGCATTTATTCAGATTCTTTGGTCACCCTGAAGTCTAAATCCTCATCCCACTGGGCTTTGGGATAATTTCCCACGCCGTAACATACTATTCTGAAAAAAAAAGAACCATTCAGCTATATGGGCCTAGTGTGCTATAGGATCAGTTGGGTTCTTACGGTTTATTGTATGGGCCCACCATATATTTACGGTACGGATAGATGTGGATACATGAGCCTGCTTAACCTCTGCTATTATAATTATTGCTATTCCTACTAGCGTCAAAGTTTATAGCTGACTAGCTAGCGACACTTCACAGTAGTAATATCAAATGATCCCCCGCAATGCTGTGAGCTTGGGGATTTATTTTCCTTTTTACAGTAGGAGGCCTAACCCGCATTGTATTGGCCAAGGCTTATATTATGGTTCATTCATATATTTAGAAACCTGAAAGTTTCTAAATAAATTGTAAAAAAGTTGTAAAAAAACCCCAGCTGAAATAACTACGAAAGTGCCTTTAATATTCTGAAGACAAAATAGCTAAGATCCAAACTGGGAGTAGATACCCCGCTATGCTTAACCCTAAACTCGAATAGTTAGATCAACAAAACTGTTCACCAGAACACTACAAGCAACAGCTTAAAACTCAAAGGACTTGGCGGTGCTTTATATCCCTCTAAAGGAGCCTGTTCTATAATCGATAAACCCCAATTTACCTCACCACCTCTTGCCCAGCCTATATACCTCCATCTTCAGCAAACCCTGGAAAGGCCACAGAGTAAGCACAAGTATCTACATAAAAACGTTAGGTCAAGGTGTAGCCCATGAGGTGGCAAGAAATAGGTATGTTTTCTACATCCAGAAAAATCTCGCGACAACCGTTATGAAATCTAAGGGCTCAAGGAGGATTTAGCAATAAATTGAGAGCAGAGTGTTTAATCGAATAAGGCCATGAAGCACGCACACACCGCCCTTCACCCTCCTCAAATATATTCTAGAAACTCATTGTACACTCCCCTGTGATATTGTCCACAATATCCAGGGAGGGAGAGAATGATTTTATTTATTTATTTTTTTTTTGAGACAGAGCCTTGCTCTGTCGCCCAGGCTGGAGTGCAGTGGCCTGATCTTGGCTCACTGCAAGCTCCACCTCCCAGGTTCACACCATTCTCCTGCCTCAACCTCCCTAGTAGCTGGGACTACAGGCGCCTGCCACCGCGCCCGGTTAATTTTTTGTATTTTTAGTAGAGACGGGGTTTCACCATGTTAGCCAGGATGGTCTCGATCTCCTGACCTCGTGATCCACCCGCCTCGGCTTCCCAAAGTGCTGGGATTACAGGTGTGAGCCACCGCGCCTGGCCAGAGAGAATGATTTTACTCCCCATATCGCAGGAGATTTACATTCCCCTGCGTTATTTTTCGTAATATCCAGGGGGAAGATGAAGATATTACTCCCCTTATAACATGGGAAAACAATTCCCTGCGATATTGTTCATAATATATCTGGGGGGAGAGAATGATATTTCTCCTTTTATTGCAGGAAGTGTACATCCCCTTTGCGATATTGTTTATAATATCTAGTAGGGGAGAGGATGATGTTACTCCCCATATTGCAGGGGGTGTACAACCCCCTAGAATATTGTTTGTAATATCCATGCGGGGAGGAGATGATGTTACTACCCATATCGCCAGGGTGTACTGCCCCCTGCCATATTGTTTGTAATATCCAGGCTGGGAAAGGATGATATTACTCCCTGTATCACAGGGGATGTACAACTCCCTGTGATGTAATATCCAGGGTGGGAGAGGAGTATATTACTCCCTATAAGGCAGAGTGTGTATACACCCCTCTGTGATATTGTTCATAATATCCACTGGGGGATATGATATTACTCCCAATATCGTAAACACCTCATGTGTACACCGTCTGTGATATTGTTTGTAATATCCAGTGGGGGAGAGGATGATACTACTTTCCACATCCCAGGGGGTTTACACCCCTCTGTGATAAGGTTTGTAATATCCAGAGGGGGAGAGGGTTATATTACTCCTCATATCGCAGGACGTGAACACCCTCCTGTGATATTGTTTGTAATATTGTTCCCAATATCCTTTTCCCCCATGGATATAGGAACAGTATCACATAGGACGTGTACACCCCCTGCCATATTGGGAGTAGTTGTGTTTACTCCCTTGCTGGACATTAGGAAGAATACCATGGGGGGGTGCACACCCCCTGCGATATTGACAGTGATATCATCCACTATCCCCTAAATATAGGAACAATATCACAAGGGAGATGTACACACTTGGCGATATTGAAAGTGATATGATCCTCTCCCCACCTGGATATTAGGAACAATATCACAGAAGGGGTGTACACCCCCTGTGATATTGACAGTAATATCCTCTCCCCCCCGGATATTAGGAGCAATATCGCAGAAGCGTTGTACACTCCCTGCGATATTGACAGTAATATCCTCTCCCCCCCGGATATTAGGAACAGTATCACAGAAGAGGTGTACACCCACTGTGATATTGACAGTAATTTCCTCTCCCCCCCCGGATATTAAGAACAATACCACGGGGGGGTGTACACCCCCTGCGATTTTGACAGTAATATCATCCTCTCCCCCCAGATATTAGTGACAATATCACCGAAGGGGTCTACACCCCCTGTGATATTGACAGTAATTTCCTCTCCCCCCCCCCAGATATTAAGAACAATACCACGGGAGGATGTACACCCTCTGTGACATTGACAGTAATATCAACCTCTCGCCTCCCTGGATATTAGGAAGAATACCACGGGGGGTGCACACCCCCTGTGATATTGGGAGTAATATCACCCACTATCCCCTAAATATTAGGAAAAATATCACAAGGCAGGGAGAACACTGTCTGCGATATTGGGAGTAATGTCATCCTTTCCCTGCCCCTGCATACTAGGAATAATATCACAGGGGATGTACACCCCCATGAGCTATTGGGAATAGCATCACCCTTTCTTCCCATGGATATTAGGAACAATATCACAGAAGTGGTGCACACACGCTGCACTGTATAGAACAAAGCAGGCAGAGGAAGGTGGGATAACCTTGCTAGCTGTAGCTTCTGGCTCTCTTTTTTTCTTCTTCCCGTGCAGGACACTTGCTTCCCTTCTTCCTGCCCTTGGACATGAAACTCCAGGTTCTTATGCCTTTGGACTCTGGGACTTGCACCAGCAGCTTCCCCGAGGCTCTCAGGCCCTCGGCCTCAGACTGAAGACTGCACTGCGGGCTTTCCTGGTTTTGAGGCTTTTGGACTTGGACTGAGCCACTACTAGCTTCTCTCTTTCCCTACCTGGCAGACAGCCTATTGTGGGACTGCCTTCTAACCGTGTGAACCAATTCTCTCTCGTAAACTCCCTTATACATATACGTGTATCTTGTTGGATCTGTCCCTCTGGAGAACCCTAACTAATACATTTTGTTTATTTTTTCTCCACTGCCCTTTCCTCTGCTTCTAGGCTTACCTAGACCACCACCATTCTTTCCCCCTTTCTAAATTAAAAGTTGTTTTTTTTCTCGCTAAATGCATGGTATTCTGCCCATTTTCCATGGCTTCCCTCAGCCTTGCTCTGTTTATTCTTGCTCTCTTAAGAGGAAATCCCTGCCTCTTCCGTGGCTTTTCCCACTTGGTCTACTTACTGATTTCTGTTGTTCTCAGAGACACACTGAGACCTTTCACATCTCACTCTCACTTCTTGGAATGGCTCTCTACCTCGTCTGCCTGCTGAGCAACCTCTTGGGGAGACGCGGGCACTCTTGAGTCACTGAACTTGAGCTATTTGGTGTTGGTATGTTAATTTATCTTCTTAGACCACTTACCACTTCCTTCAAAAGAGAAGAATAAGTATTATTTTCCATGGTCGATATGAAGAGTAGAAATAACTTATACAAAATGCATTGCAGTTAAGTGATAATAAATGGCCGTGAATGCCCTTATTAATGTTATTCTATCAGTCTCGGCTCAGATACCATCTGCTCTGTGAGCTCTGCTCTGAATCATATCTGCTTCTTCTCTGGGTTCCTTGTGCTCTGTTCTTAACTACTTTAGAGCAGTAATTGTTCTGATTCTAATTAGTGATCCTTCCCAATAAAATTTTAATTTTGTAGATCTCTTCCCCCCACCCCTGCCCCAGCCTAACTAGTGCTTTCTTACTTTTTTGTGTACAGGCTACATCACTGGTCTTCTTTTATTTGTGGCTAAATAAATGTTGTGTTAGAAGAGTAAAGAGTTCCCAGTTACATGGGATCTATAGTTCTACAAAATGAATGTATACATAAACCATGTAAATATTTCACTTATTTTAAGACAATTTTTTAATTTTTAAATTAAATTTAATTTGTGCATGTGTGTGAGACTAGAGTGAGAACAGAGATGGCGGTGGTGAGGGGCGGTGGTCTCACCATGTTGCCCAGGCTGGTCTTGAACTCCCCTTCAAGTTCCCCCTCCTCACCTGGCCCCCCTCACCTTGCCTCCTCCCCTGGCCCCCCTCACCTTGCCTCCTCCCCTCTCACTCTTATGCCAGCCCCTGCCATTCCCCACCCCCTGTGTAGACTGCAAGACTCAACAAGTGACTTGCTGAGCAAACCCTGCTGAGAAGAGGTCTGTTTAGGGACACAGGAGGCCAAGTACACAAAAAAGCAAAAGAACTAGCATGCCTTTTTCAATGGATGTCTATTTTACAGGGCTGGCTTCAGATTATTGTTATAGCTTTAAATAAAAGGACCGTTTTGTCATCTCGACCCATGGCCTACATTATTTCTTTACTGTCCATTGCCCTGGGCGCTTGACTAATAATTTAACAGCAGTTTTTTTTTTTAAATTTTAAATCATGATTCATTGCATTGCTGTAAGAGTAATTAGAGGTAAAGTAGGGCTTGAAACTGCCTGTAGTTGGTTACTTACTGAGATCTTAGCATAATTGTCAGGTGAGAGGGTGAAGTTTTAATTAGTGCTAAGTGGGATAGAAATTCAATGCACTGAAACTGCAGTGTCCAATTCAGTAGGTGCTAGCCACCTGTAACTGTTGAGCACTTGGAATCCTGGCTAGTCCTAATTGAGATGTGTTATGTTAAATACACTGGATTTTGTCATTGGAGTGGGAAGAACAGTGTAGAATATCTGCTTGATTTTTTTATATTGATTACATGTTAAAATTATTACTATGATTACTATTTGGGACATACTGAGTTAAGTATATTTAAAATTAATTTCACATTTTCTTTTAATGGGGCTTACTAGTACATTTAAAATTATGTACATGGCTCACATATTTATTGGACAACACGGCTCCACAAGTTTAGGAAGAAATAAGAAAAATATTGAGAATAGGTAGCGACAGTAGGAAGTTTGTCCTCCTGTAAGACTGATTCCAATATAACTAATAGGTGATAGTTTTAATTGGCTTTTTCCTACTAGAAAAAGTAAGTGTACTTTACATGCCTCTTTGTTCTCCCTCTTTCCCCTTCAATTTAGTGGTTAGCGTGTATTTACTATATCAGGCTTAATATTCACTAAGCAGTGTTAAGAAGACTTAGGTAAATGATTCCCTGATGAACACACTTGATTTTGAAAGCACTTTCCTAACCCATTTTTAATAGGAATAGAGTCAAAGGTAGATGGCTTATTAGTAGTCATCTCATTTAAATCTCATGGAATTTTCCTGCTAAATCTCAAAGTAAACAATTTGTTATAGGCTGTTTTGTCAAGTGTATGGAAGGGACAGCATAAGACATGTGGTACTTCATTTCCAAATTGCTTGAGATGGTTTTCATTATAATCATACATTATTTGCTTCTGGTTTTCCGGAAAAGCCAGCTAAACCTGAGGTTCATTTAGATATAAATGAAATATCCTCAAAGGATTGCTCAAAGTGACTTATGCAACTTGAATATATATTTTTTCTGTAGGGTGTTTATTCCAAATTACCTGGCCATTTGCTGCAATTTGCAGTTTTTTAGAAAACACCAAATATTTCTCAAGTTAGAGATGTTTTAATAAAAACAGTCATATTGAACTGGCAGCAGCCAAATAAAATGGCCCTTTATTTCACAGTTGAGAATTTGAAATTGGAAGGTAATTAACATATGTAAGGATGATGTATTTGCTGCCTGGCTTATAGGAATGAGCCAAGTTGTTTTTTGAGGGATGTTGTTGCTGTGTATGTCCCACCTATTTTGCTTCCTTAATGAACAATGCAAGTTTGAGACAGAAATATTTGAGAACATTTTTATCAGTTGCAACATTTTGATAGTGAACATTTTATATCTTCTGTCAACTTAAAATGTTTGCATCTTCTGTCAGCTTAAAATGTTTAATTTGTTATAGCCAAATAATTTGGCTATAATTGATAATTTAATTTATCAAATTAAATTGCTTTTTTTCCCTTTAGACTTTCTTCAGTCACATCTGAATAAATCACTTAGAAGTAAGCTAGATGTAATATAATGAAATGTTTAAAAGGGCTGTGTATCTACATATTACACTTACAGTGATTTTCTGTTGTACCCATTATATTCTACCTGCAGCTAGTTGAGGTAAAGAGAGGGCATTTAACTGTCAAGGGAACCTGTGAGGAGACTGTAGAAATCTAGAAAGTCTCTTGGGTCTTTGAGGGATTTTGGGATGCAGAGAGTGGGGCTGGGATCTCTGGCTAGGTTGGAGCCAGCCTGCATTTGTATCTTTATCTTGGAAGCAAACATAGAATGCAGAGATAGATGTGGCCTGGATGCTGCTAACTCTAGCCAACCACTAAATCTTAAGGTGGGAGAGATGCAGGCTTTGGCTGGGTGCTAAGCTGTTGTAGCTGGTTGAATGTAGAGGTCACTATCTTTTCTGAATACTTGTAAGTAAATTAAATCATTCTCTACTCCTGTATGCCTGCCAACCAAATGGGAAATCGCTATAGAAAAGATGGTTTAAATTTTAGTCTTTGAAGTGGTTTACGCACGTTTCTGGAATCAAGATTTAATGCAGACTTGGATTGGATATTGAATATTTTTTATTTGTCTACTTTTCTCTCCATAGGGAGTTTATAGCTTCATTGCACTGTGTGTGGCATTTGGGTCCTGTTTGGCAGCAATGACTGCCTTTCTGTTTAGTGTCTGTGTGCTATGAAGAGTGCACACAGGGGTCCAGATGCATCCTGTTTTGAGAATGTTAATGGATACACCAGCTGCTGCTTTGGATTTCACCCATTGGTGGTAGTTGACCCGCTGTTTGTTTGGAATGCAGACAATTTAAGTGAAGACATATCCATATATGTGGCTCTGTTACAGTGGTGAAATCTACAACCATAAGAAGGTAGGGAAAAAGAAGCAAGAGGTCTGGATGTGATTAAACTTCAGAGCTTGTTGGTTACGATGACATTATATATTCTGTATCATGCTTTTTACTTTGCAAAGCATTCTATGTTATCTCATTTGCTCTAAGTATGTAGATAGGGAACTGATGAATAAAATGGTGAGTGAAATCACTTGGTCACAAAAAAAAGTGATAAAAATGGGGATTACACAGTTTCTTTGACTCTTAGAATTTTTTCTCCTTCTCCCCAGCTTTTTGTTTTGAAAAAAATTCTAACATACAGAAAAGAACAGAATAGTGAGCACCTAGATTGAATAATCATTAATGTTTTGCCATATTTCCTTGATTTTTCTTTCTACACACACACACACACACACACACACACACACACACACAGTTTTTTGCCAACACATTTGAGAGTATGGTGCAGGTTTTGTGACACTCCTAAATATATAAGCATTTATGTCCTAAGAATAAGGACATTTTTCTACATAACATCAATACTATTATTAAACCTAAGAATCCATGATATCACCTGGCTGGGTGCGGTGGCTCACGTCTGTAATCCCAGCACTTTGGGAGGCTGAGGTGAGTGGATCACGAGGTCAGGAGGTCGAAACCATGCTGGCTAGCACGGTGAAACCCCGTCTCCACTAAAAATACAAAAATAAAAAAATCAGCCAGGCCTAGTGGTGGGCACCTGTAGTCCCAGCTACTCGGGAGGCTGAGGCAGGAGAATGGTGTGAACCTGGAAGGTGGAACTTGCAGTGTGCCAAGATTGAGCCACTGTACTCCAGCCTGGGAGACAGAGCAAGACTCTGTCTCAAAAAAGAAAAAAAAACATAATGCCACCTAATATCCAGTTAATACTTAAATTTCCCTAAGTGTCTGGAGAATTTTTTTTTTTTTTAGACAAGAGTCTCAACTTCATCACCCAGGCTGGAGTGCAGTGTTGCAATCTCAGCTCACTGCAACCTCTGCCTCCCGGTTTCAAGCGATTCTCCTTCTTCAGCCTCCTGAGTAGCTGGGATGACAGGCCCACCTGTCGCCATGGCTGGCTAATTTTTTGTATTTTAGTAAAGACTGGGCCCAGGGTGGTCTCTAACTCCTGAGCTCAGGCAATCTGCTCACCTTGGCCCCTCAAAGTGCTACCAAGAATATCTTTATAGCTGGTATTTGTTTGTTTAGAGCCAGATTTCATTCAAGATTCATGCATTTGGTTGTGATGTTTCTTGGTATTTTTTCTGAGACTTCTTGATAGATACCTGTCATGCAGTGATAGAGAGTTATACCCTAACCATGTTTTGGACATTTTTATCTCTGAATAATAGCTTTTGTCATTGTTTGTTGCCTGCTCACGGGAACACTCTTAATAACAGTCTTCTTGTTCAAAAAGTTTTAAAATAGTTATTCAAGAAATTCCTTTCACACATTTCTTTATTCCTTTATTAAGGGCCTAATATGCACCAGACATCATTTTTCTAGGTGATTGTAGATGAAATGGTGAAAAGGAAAGGCAAGAATGGAATTTCCTGCTAGTGGGAAGTAGAAGAGAGTATTAAAACTTTTTTCTTTCTAAGTCAAATCAGTGTCATATGCATGAGAAAGCTAGGCAGTATGATGGCATTATCAGCTTGACTTTCTCCTTAAATGAAATAGGAAGTGCCCTGTTTTACTCAGACAGTTTTTTTTTCTAAAAAGCTAAAAGAAGTTAAATATTTTGAAAATAATTAATTTCTGTTCTAAATTAGTCAAATGTTATATTTGTAAAACTAGAGAAGTTTGTTCCATTGCTTCTACCAAGCCTCTCAGTTTATGTAGTTGGGGCAGCTAGAAATCTAATGAACAGAATGTATATTTTAGGCTTATATAAAGTATTCTGCAACATAAGCTCAAAAATACCCCCTACCCTCTTTTTGATAAAAATAAAGTTTACTACTAATAATAAAATACAGCCAGAGGTGTGCTGGGAGTGGAGGGGGACTGAGTGAAAGAAAGTAGGAATGGGGTAAAGGCTGGGGCAAAGAGCAGACTCTCTCCCTGCAGGGGAGTATCAGGGGCCTGCAGTCAAGTTAAATGACAGCATGACTTCAGGAGGCCAGATTTGAGGGCTTTTATCTAAGATGCAGCATCGGAGTTTGGTTTAAGAGAGTAGGAAGTGATACATCTGTTACCCAAAGGACCCTTCTCTTTTTTGAATAAATTACCTGCAGAGTTTAGGCCAAAGAGGCGGGCAAGGTAGATTTGGGAAACTGTTGCTTGCTAATATCACCAAACGCTTTCTTTTTATACTTGCTGGAGGCTTTAATTGGGACAAGGACATTTTTATACAAAGATAGAGAAAACAATCACCTATGGAATTTGATTCCTTGCTCCATGCCCTCGCTAGCACCTCTCAACATGCTTGATGATATTTAAAATTTATTCATAGGGAAAAAACTTTTCATCCCACAATTAGAATCAGGCTTAACTTGCTTTTTGAAAAGTTAGTATGTAATTGGTGTTAAGATATAAATTACCAAGATTTTTATACTTGAAACAGATTTAGATGATAGAGTGAGGTAGGTGGTGGTAGTTGGTGGGAAGGGGTAGTTTTTTAGAGAGGGTATTAGGAGTTGTGATTTTCAATGTGAGAGAGGTGAAGGTTTGAAAATAAGTAAGAAAAGCACTAAAAGGGTGAAGTCAAGGGCCTCTGAGAGCCAGGATGATAGATTCTATTTCACAGTTTAACACAGGATCAGCATAGACCAAAGCAAGTTTGTAACTAAGGCAATGAAGATCATCTGTCTCCTCCCTTCCCCATTAATTGTGAACTTTAGTTTTATAAGCTCCTAAGAGGCAGAAAACAAGCTGGAGACCCGTCATCTATTTGAGAGTATATGGCATGTATCTATTGTCCTAGGTGCTGGGTTTATTTTTTTCAGCTAATGACAGTTTTCCATGCTTTATGGTCACTTACCCTTCAGGCAATTCAGCCCTGGACAGTCAGCAGAAGACTGTTTCCAGACCCCACCTGCTAGTTACAGATCATCCCTGATAGAGCAGAGACGGGTGACCAGGTTGTGGCTTTATAGTCACTGTAGGCAAAGCCCATTTTTGGACAGTTACATTGAGGGCTTACAGACAAAATGTTCACAAATTATGGAGTGAGCTGAATGGAGTGCGAAGCGTATTTATGGGTCACACACATACACAATAGGTTTACTTTTTGAGATTTGAAAACATGTTTTAAACTTAACCTAGGATTTCCACCTGATTTAAACCTCTTCTTTCTCTAATGTCAGCCAAAAATGTGAGTATGACATACAAAGAGCAATACATCAAGGACTTTTCATCCTCATAGTTTGCCAGTGATGGTGGAGAGTGTCAGAATTGGGGAGTATCCTAATCAAACTTTCTTACTCTGCATGCAGTGGCAGACAGTCCCTTTGCTGTTGCTTTGGGGCATGCAGACTAATAAAGTGCCACCATCATTTTATCTCTCAGTGAGGAGTAGTTTTAATGCTACTGCCGTGGTGGGAGCACTGGACATTGTCATCCACCCCTGAGGACAAGCAGCTTTGTTTTGGATCATGTATCTGTTATTGTGATGGAGCCATTTATTTTTCAGGGAATGATGCCAAATGATGTCTGTCTCTTTGCTTTACATTTTTATACCTAGGTCTTTGAAGCTGAACTGGAGGAACTTCTTAGCCAATACTGTCTTCTCAAACTTTACAGTTGCAGAAGACACATTTTTTAATGTCATGGCGACCAAGCAACCTATTACCTTAACTTAAATTTAGAGGTTGAGCATCCCTAATCTGAAAATCTGAAATTTGAAATGCTTCAAAATCTGAAACTTTTTGAGCACTGACATGACACTACATGTGGATTTTGATGTCCGAGTCAAAATGCAGGTGAACAACACACAGTTTATTTGATGTTCTCTAGTGAAAAAAGACCCTCTCAGCCCCCTTCAGCTGCAGTATAACTTTTGTACACATGCTCAGATTTCCCCATGTAAGTACACCCAAAAAGGGTCACAGAATGGCACATGTGCAAGCTGGACACGCCAAAGGCAGGATCCCCACAGACGGGACCTAAGTGCATTACCCATTGTGTATTTTTGCTTATTCTCTGCTCTGTGATGTTAACATACTGAAAATGTCAATAAGACCTGTAGATATCCCTACGAGCAGCAACGATAAGGAAAAGTAGAAATACTTATAACACAGAAAGTCAAGCTGTTGGAGAAATTGGACTGTAGTGTAAAGGTATAGATGACATGGTGAAAATGTGTGATAGAGATATTGAAGATATTGAAGGACTAAAGCTACCTGCATTCATAACAGAACAAGAGGTCATGTCAGTTTATAAAATTAAAGAGAGACTTCCAAGACAAAAGCCATTGATAATGAGACAGATGCCTCTGGAGAAACATTATAAAAAGCCATCTGGCAGAATGCCTCCTCAGCCTCAGAGGACTCACCTCCTAGTTGCTCAACTCTTCTGATATTTCTTCTCACCTAAAAAAAAGAAAAAAATACAATGCACAGTAACCTTTTAATCAAAACACAGCCTTGTAGGTGGAGCCTGAAAGCTTGCCATTGTTTGTACAGCTGTTTAACAGCTGATGCAGGTATTCTGGTGATGCTACTGTGTTGCTTATTATTTTTTACTGTATTAATGGCATGCCATATTTTTACTTATGTGTGAATAAGTGTGTGAAAATGATTGCTCATCAGTAGCATATAAATTCAGAGTCAAAAAGGATGGTCAGTGACATCAGACAGCCACAGATTTTCCACATGGAAGCTGAGATAGTGACACCTTTGCTTTCTGATGGTTCCATGTACACAAACTTTGTTTCATGCACAAAATTATTTGAAATATTATATAAAATTACTTTTAGGCTATGTGTATAAGATATATGAAACATAAGTGAATTTACATTTAGACTTGGATCTCATCCCCAAGATATCTCATGTAGATGCAAATATTCTAAAATCCAAAAAAAAATTCCGAAACCCAAAACACTTCTGGTTCCAAACATTTCAGATAAGGGATACTCAATCTGCATATATAAAAATATTTATGTATCACATACATAATATGTATATAATATGAATTTCCATTCTTCCACAGGTTACTATTCTGGTACACTCCCATTATATTCTGTTTATCAGACTGCAACTAAAGCTTTCATGGGTTCAGCTTTATATTGAACAGAATTTGCAGAATTATGAGTTGAAGCAAACCCTAGTTTGAAAATGCTATGATTCTCCTAAATCACCAAAGTGCATGAAATGATTTTAGAGCTCCAGAAATACTAAAGCAACTTTGTGATAAAAAATTATTAGTGAATGCACAAGGAGTCTATAACGTTTTGGTTTTGCTATTGCTTCCTAAGGTGCAGCACCGTTTTGAATTTGAATACCAGACCAAAGTGGATGGTGACATAATCCTTCATCTTTATGACAAAGGAGGAATTGAGCAAACAATTTGTATGTTGGATAGTGTGTTTACATTTGTTTTACTGGATTCTGCTAACAAGAAACTGTTCCTGGGCAGAGATACATAAGGAGTCAGACCTTTGTTTAAAGCAGTGACAGAAGATGGATTTTTGGCTGTGTGTTCAGAAGCTAAAGGTAATAGTAAATTTATCTATAGATTTCCATTATTGTCTTGGTCGTGTGTTTTCTTTTAAATTATATTTGAAAATCTCTTAGCTATCCAGAATTTTACAAGTGACTAATTAATTTGTGAGTTCTTACCTTTTTTAAAAAAACAGAGGAGTTGTACTCTCCTTTTCAGCACTTAAATTCTGTAATCCTTGAAGGATGGGTCTTTAGTGTAGTCAATTATTTTTGCTGTGCTAATATGCTCTGCATCTAGCTTGATCGTAAGTGCAGTTTTAAGTTTTCCTGTGTCATACTGTAACGGTAGGGCTGGCTCTGCAATTATTGCCCTGCGGTACTTTGCCGCAGTTATAGCACAGCAAATATTAGGATTTCTAAAACAGCTTTATTGGTAATTCACATGCCATGTAATTCACCCACTCAAAGTATATAGTTCAGTGGTTTTTAGTATATTCACAGATGTTGGGAACCAACACTCCAATCAATTTTAGAATTGTTTTTCCACCTCAAAAAAAATTACAAATGAAATCCTATGCCCTTTACCTTATTTTATTTCTATTTATTTATTTTTTTAAGAGATGGGGTTTTGCTCAGTCAACCAGCCCAGGCTGGAGTGCAGTGGTGTAATCATAGCTTAGTGCAGTCTTGAACTACTGGGCTCAAGCAATCCTCCCATCTCAGCCTCCCTAGTAGCTAGGAGTACAGGCATGGACCACAACATCCTGCCTCCTGTGCCTTTAGCTTTCAATTCCGTCTCTCCACATCCATCATCTGCATCCCCGCAGTTGTAGCGCTGGCAATCACCAATCTTTCTGCCTCTGGATTCCCTATTACATGTGTTTCATATAAATGGGATTATCTATCATATGGGATTTGTTACTGGATTCTGTCACTTGGCATAATGCTTGCAAGGTTTGTCTATGCCGTAACATGTATCAGTACTTACTTTTTATGGCCACATGATACTTTGTTACATGGATACACTGGATTTTGTTTATGCACTTGTCAGTTAATGGACACTTAGGACATTGTTTACCCCTTTTGGCTATTACGAATAATGCTGCTATAAACGTTGGTTTACAAGTTTTTGTGTAGACATTTCTCTTCGGTGTTTATCTAGGAGCAGAATTGCTCAGATGCATGATAACTGTCTAATTGAGGAACTGCCAAACTGCTTTTTGAAATGGCTGCATTATTTTTTATTCCCTCCAGCAGTATATTAAAATTTCAGTTGCTCCACATTTTCACAAACACTTACTGTGTGACTTTTTAATTGTAGCCATTCTAATATATGTGAAATTGTATCTCATTGTGGTTTTCATTTGTATTTTCCTATTGAAGGTAATGTCCAGTGTCTTATCTCATGCTTATTGGCCATGTGTATATCTTCTTTGGGGAAATATTTGTTGAGATCTTTTGCCATTTTTTTTTCCTGCTAGGGATCATTTTATTTTAAAAACATAATAGATTTTTTTTTGGCAGTTTTGGAAAAAATAGAAAAGTACAGAGGTTCACATATGCTCCCCTACAGTGCCCCCGCCCAGTTTTCCCAGCTCTGAACACCTTGTGTTACTGTGCTACATTTAAAAGATTTGATGAACTGATACTTATATCTGAATTTTGTAGTTTACATTAGGGTTCACTCTGTGTTTTACAGATTTTTGGATTTGACAAATGCATAATGTTGTGTACCCACCATTACAGTATTATGTAGAACATTTTATTTTATTTATTTATTTATTTATTTATTTTTTATTATTATACTTTAAGTTTTAGGGTACATGTGCACGTTATGCAGGTTAGTTACATATGTATACATGTGCCGTGCTGGTGCGCTGCACCCACTAACTCGTCATCTAGCATTAGGTGTATCTCCCAATGCTATCCCTCCTTCCTCCCCCTACCCCACAACAGTCCCCAGAGTGTGATATTCCCCTTCCTGTGTCCATGTGATCTCATTGTTCAATTCCCACCTATGAGTGAGAACATGCAGAGTTTGGTTTTTTGTTCTTGCGATAGTTTACTGAGAATGATGATTTCCAATTTCATCTATGTCCCTACAAAGGACATGAACTCATCATTTTTTATGGCTGCATAGTATTCCATGGTGAATATGTGCCACATTTTCTTAATCCAGTCTATCATGGTTGGACATTTGGGTTGGTTCCAAGTCTTTGCTATCGTGTATAATGCTGCAACAAACATACGTGTGCATGTGTCTTTATAGCAGCATGATTTATAGTCCTTTGGGTATATACCCAGTAATGGGATGGCTGGGTCAAGTGGTATTTCTAGTTCTAGATCCCTGAGGAATTGCCACACTGACTTCCACAATGGTTGAACTAGTTTACAATCCCACCAACAGTGTAAAAGTGTTCCTATTTCTCCACATCCTCTCCAGCACCTGTTGTTTCCTGACTTTTTAATGATTGCCATTCTAACTGGTGTGAGATGGTATCTCCTTGTGGTTTTGATTTGCATTTCTCTGATGGCCAGTGATGATGAGCATTTTTTCATGTGTTTTTTGGCTGCATAAATGTCTTCTTTTGAGAAGTGTTTATTCATGTCCTTTGACCACTTTTTGATGGGGTTGTTTGTTTTATTCTTGTAAATTTGTTTGAGTTCATTGTAGATTCTGGATATTAGCCCTTTGTCAGATGAGTAGGTTGCGAAAATTTTCTCCCATTTTGTAGGTTGCCTGTTCACTCTGGTGGTAGTTTCTTTTGCTGTGCAGAAGCTCTTTAGTTTAATTAGATCCCATTTGTCAATTTTGTCTTTTGTTGCCATTGCTTTTGGTGTTTTAGACATGAAGTCCTTGCCCATGCCTATGTCCTGAATGGTAATGCCTAGGTTTTCTTCTAGGATTTTTATGGTTTTAGGTTTAACGTTTAAGTCTTTAATCCATCTTGAATTGATTTTTGTATAAGGTGTAAGGAAGGGATCCAGTTTCAGCTTTCTACATATTGCTAGCCAGTTTTCCCAGCACCATTTATTAAATAGGGAATCCTTTCCCCATTGCTTGTTTTTCTCAGGTTTGTCAAAGATCAGATAGCTGTAGATATGCGGTGTTATTTCTGAGGGCTCTGTTCTGTTCCATTGATCTATATCTCTGTTTTGGTACCAGTACCATGCTGTTTTGGTTACTGTAGCCTTGTAGTATAGTTTCAAGTCAGGTAGTGTGATGCCTCCAGCTTTGTTCTTTTGGCTTAGGATTGACTTGGCAATGCAGGCTCTTTTTTGGTTCCATATGAACTTTAAAGTAGTTTTTTCCAATTCTGTGAAGAAAGTCATTGGTAGCTTGATGGGGATGGCATTGAATCTGTAAATTACCTTGGGCAGTATGGCCATTTTCACGATATTGATTCTTCCTACCCATGAGCATGGAATGTTCTTCCATTTGTTTGTATCATCTTTTATTTCTTTGAGCAGTGGTTTGTAGTTCTCCTTGAAGAGGTCCTTCACATCCCTTGTAAGTTGGATTCCTAGGTATTTTATTCTCTTTGAAGCAATTGTGAATGGGAGTTCACTCATGATTTGGCTCTCTGTTTGTCTGTAGTTGGTGTATAAGAATGCTTGTGATTTTTGTACATTGATTTTGTATCCTGAGACTTTGCTGAAGTTGCTTATCAGCTTAAGGAGATTTTGGGCTGAGACAATGGGGTTTTCTAGATATACAATCATGTCGTCTGCAAAGAGGGACAATTTGACTTCCTCTTTTCCTAATTGAATACCCTTTATTTCCTTCTCCTGCCTAATTGCCCTGGCCAGAACTTCCAACACTATGTTGAATAGGAGTGGTGAGAGAGGGCATCCCTGTCTTGTGCCAGTTTTCAAAGGGAATGCTTCCAGTTTTTGCCCATTCAGTATGATATTGGCTGTGGGTTTGTCATAGATAGCTCTTATTATTTTGAAATACGTCCCATCAATACCTAATTTAATGAGAGTTTTTAGCATGAAGGGTTGTTGAATTTTGTCAAAGGTCATTACTGATCTTTTTACTCTCTAATTTTGCCTCTCCCAGAATGTCGTATAATATCATGTAGTATGTATCCTTTTCAGACTGGCTTCTTTCACCCGGCAGTATACATTTAGGGTTCTTCTGTGTTTTTTCATGGCTTGATAGCTCACTTTTTAAATTGCTGAATAATATTCCATTTGTTTGCATGTATTGCAGTTTTTTTATCCATTCTTGAATTATCCATCTCTAATTGGGTTGTTTTGTCTTTTTATTACTGAATTGTAATTGTTCCTTATGTATGCCAGACACAAATCCCTTGTGTTCTTCAGGGTTGCAGGATACAAGATCAATATGCAAAAATCAATAGTATTTGACACACTTTAACTGAGTACTACATACTCACAATGAGCAATCAGAAAATGAAATTAAGAAAGCAACTTCATTTATCATAGCATCAACAAGAATAAAATACTAATAAATTTAAGAAGTGTAAAACTTGTACTCTGAAAACTATAGAATATTGTTGAAAGAAATGAAAGAAGATCTAAATAAATGTAAAAGTATCCCATGATCATGGACCGAAGGCTTAAGATTGTTAAGATGGCAGTCCTCCCTAAACTCGTCTACAGATTTAACTTCATTCCTGTCAGAATCCCAGATGAGTTCTCTGTAAAATCGACAAGCTGACTCTCAAACTCATATGGAATTGCAAAGGACTAAGAATAGCCAAAATACTCTTTTGAAAATGAGAACAAAGTAGGAGAACTCATACTTACTGACTTTAAAACTTACTACAAGACAATGGTAATCAGGACAATATAATACTGGCAGAAGGATAGATGTATAGACGAGTGGGATAGAATTGAGAGTCAGATATGAACCCATACATATATAAACACTGATTTTCGACAAGGGTGCCAAGATTATTCAGTGGGGAAAGATGTTTGAAAACTGGCACAGGGACAACTAGATATGTAAACATATGCAAAACCTGGAGTAGTACCTTTACCCAACACCATATTCAAAAACTATGGATGCAAAAACAATGGATCAAATGGACCCATTTTGAGCTAATCCACATAAACATAAGGACTAAAACTATAAAATCCTGAGAAGCAAACATAGGAGCAAATTATCATGACCTTGAATTTGGCAAAGTTTTCTTAAATATGAGACCATCAACAAGAATAAAAATTGATGAATTGGACTTCATCAAATTTAAACATTTTTGCACTTCAAAGGACACCATCAAGAAAGTGAAAAAACAACTCACAAGATGGAAGAAAATACTTGCAAATAGTGTGTAGCACTTTTTGATGGTAAACTTGAGGAAGACTTTTTTTGAAATTCCTTGATTGTTCTTTTCTATATCCTTGACACTGTCCTTTTACAGACCACATGATCTTATCTGGAATACTACAACAGTTTTCTTTTCTCAGTGCTTTTAGAATAACCTGTCAAAAACTCATCTGACTATAGTAGTACCTGCTTACAACCTTTTAATTGCTCCCCATTCCCTACCAGGCTGTGTAGCTCACTTGAGCTCTGCTAGGTGGTGAGGGAATCTGGGTCTTTTTTCTGGTATTTGAATTCAGTGCTACATAGGTTACTGGCTGGGTTGACAATCTCAGATTGTAAATCATGAGTATTCTATGTAGATAGTCTGTCACGATTTACAATAAAACATTGACATGTCAAAGGCCATTCCATCCTGGGCGACAGAGCGAGACTCCGTGCCCCCCCGCCAAAAAAAACAAAACAAAAAACAAACAAACAAAAAAGAAAACAACAAAAAAAACACTTTCCCCAGAATGCTAGCCTGATGGGAACTCCACCCCATCCATTCCAACCTAGTAAGGATAGTTTAGTTTGTCTTTTCTGGTCCCACTTCCTTACATCTAGTGTTCTTTTTTTGTTTCTGTTATTAAATTTCATAAGACAAACCTTAGCATTTTCTAAAAGAAATTATTTTTACCTAAATACATTGGACTTTGGTCTTAATTTGAAGGAATAGGATAAGTGGCCTTTAAGAGAGCGTTCCTACTCCTTCTCTTCCAGTGGCTGCTCTGGGTCCCTGAAAGAGGGTGTGATGTGAACCATCTGGGTTGTGAAGTGGATTTTGTTGAGCCTGTGTTTTTTAAGTCTATTAGTCCTGCCCGAGGCTGTGCGCCCTGGAATCCTTGGCTTCGCCTCTGAACCACCTTCAGCCAAGTGGTGATGGTGAAGAGGGTCCCCCCATCTTCCAGGACGTGTGAGAGTTTGTAGGTGATGAAATAGAGGGGGCACCTTTTAAATCTTTCAGTACCCACCCCCGCTGCTGGCGGTGCTCTCCCCGTCGTCCTCGTCCAGGACTCCCACCAGGGTCTCGATCTCTTCTATGATGCTCTGACTCACATACTGGGAGGCCCTTTTCCCAATGTAGTCCCTGATGTCCACATCGGCGTCCTAGGTCCTGACTAGCAGCTTCACCATCTCCAAGGTACATGGCTGCCAAGTGCAGGGCAGTGTAGCCCTGGCCTTGCTGTTCCCAGGCAGCGGAGGCTCATTGGGGAAGTTGACCAGCATGGCCAAAAGCTCCAGCCTGGGGTGCTAGGTGCCTGCGCAGGCAGGTGAGGCGGTAATGAAGCTCAGCGTGGCCAGCAGACCGGTTGGCACGGGGGCAACCCCCTAAGCTGTCCACTCCCCATCGGAGGCCGACAGCAGCCAGCCATGCTCCCTGGTCCAGCTCACCCAGCCCCGCAGCTCTCCTTCTCCTCGGACGGGAAAGCCAGCGCTGCGCCACCAGAGTCATTCGCCTCTGCCCTGTCCTCAGAGGAGGAGCTCCCAGGCTGCTGCCTCCAGGACACAGGTTCCTCTTCAGGGGTGGGGCGCTGCCCCTTCCCAAGTGGCTCAAGTTCTGGCGGAACGGCCTCGGGGCTGTAGCCCCCCCAGGAGCTGTCCCTGTCAGCCTCCTGGCAGCCGTGGGGCGGGGGTTCCAGGTCTTTTCTGGTCCCAGGTCCCACGTCTGGGGTAGGGGCTGGTGGAGCCGGTGAGCTCTTCTTACGTCCCCGCCGCTCAGGGCGGCCGGTGCAGGGCCTGGGCTCCCCCTCGCCCAGCTCGGCCCTGCCTGTGGAGCACCTCGGGGACCGCTGTTTCAGGGAGGGGATGGTGAATGCTGCGCTCCGCGTTCACGTGGACGCGGGACAGGTCCCAGGGGCGCGGCCTCAGGCAGAGGCCCCGCCAGAACCTCTTCCTGAGACGCAGGTACTGGGCGCCATCGGCGGGGTCGGTGCAGTGGCCACAGCGTTCACCTGGAGATACATTTTAAACAGTTTTATTCTCCTTTTTTTTTTTCCATTCCAGAAACCATTACTACTATGAAACAAAGTAAAAATATCTAGTTTAAATAATAATTTGATACGGTCAGATGGGGATGAGTGCACACGTGTGTGTACACACACACGCAGGCTCTAAATGGGATATTTTGGCGGAGCAGAGGGATAAGGCTTTTATTTCATTGATGTGTTGAGTTAGAATCGCCCTTCTCACAATTAAATAATTTAAATCAGGAGTTTTGTTAAGGCTAATTTGTACAACTAGGCAACATCTTTTCTCCATATATTTATACACATATACACAACTCTAATATTTGCATTTATTACTTCATCTAAAAGAGCTTGGAAAAAGGGTCCTAAGTCTTGGCTAGTTAAGGTAAAAATCTATATTTTAAAGTAATAAAAACATTTGCTATGGACAGAGACATGCAGACACTGTGGGTGAAGCTGATTGATGTTCCATTGAATGAAATGACATGGAGTTTTCTAAGGGAAAGCCTAGCACGCTGCAAGGAGAGGGGAGGTCCTGGGAGGGAATTGGAGTCAGCATTAGGATCTAAGTGTCACAGGGGAGTGTGTTCCCCAAAAAGACTGTGACTGTTTCTGTGTCCATCCTGAACTGGTTACCATGAGTGTACGTGTGTGTGTGTGTGTGTGTGTGTGTGTGAGAATTAAAAGAGGAGTTACATGCTGGGGCATTTCTGGTATCTCAACTCTCATCTCAGCTGCTGGTGTTGATGGCTATACATTTTCCTCAGTATTCAATGGTGCGTATTTTGAGTTAACAATCCACCCATTGGCTGAGGCAGGTGGATCATCTGAGGTGAAGTGTTTGAGACCAGCCTGGCCAATATGTGAAACTCTGTCTCTACTAAAAATACAAAAATTAGCAAGGCATGGTTGCAGCACCTGTAATCCCAGCTACTCAGGAGGCCAAGACAGGAGAATTGCTTGAATCTAGGAGGCAGAAGTTGCAGTGAGCTGAGATGGGCCACTGCACTCCAGCTTGGACAGCAGAGTGAGACTTGGTCTCAAAAAAAAAAAGTTATTGTGACATGCTGTACATATTCACAAATTCAGTGTTTCCCAGAAGTCTGAGATTCTTTTTTTTTTTTTTTTTTTGAGACGGAATTTCACTCTTGTTGCCCAGGCTGGAGTGCAATGGTGTGATCTCGGCTAACTACAACCCCCACTTCGTGGGTTCAAGTGATTCTCCTGCCTCAGCCCAAGTAGCTCCTGCCTCCCAAGTAGCTGGGATTACAGGCATGTGCCACCATGCCCAGCTAATTTTTTTTTATTTTTAGTAGAGTTGGGGTTTATCCACGTTGGTCAGGCTGGTCTCAAACTCCCGACTTCAGGTGATCCGCCCGCCTCGGCCTCTCGAAGTGCTGGGATTACAGCCATGAGCCACCATGCCCAGCCAGAAAGTTTTAAGACTATGATTATTAGACCATCATACACACAAAAAGTACTTAAAAAGTCTCAGGAATGCAGTCCCTCATTGGCCTGGTATGACAAAGATAAAAATAAGTTGGTCGTGAAAATTTCTGAATGTGGTTTAGGACCAGGAACCCCAGTAAGATTCAGAGACAACCTAGAAAATTGAAAGACAATTTTACTACCCAAATCACCCTTCTATAAAAAATAATAGAAGGTGTCAAATATGAAAATAAAACTGTCCTCTGGGCCCTCAATTTTCTGTGTTATTGGGAAGGCAGACAGCTACTCAGCAGTTATATCCCATAAGAATGGATAACACTAAAACAACTGACAGCATCAAGTGTTGGTTAGAAAGTGGAACTGATTCTCTCAAACATTTTCATTGTAGTTTAAGATGGCACAACCACTTAGGAAAATGTCTCCCCATTTCATACAATGCCAAATATATACTTATTTTGTAACCCAGAAAATCCACTCTTATGTACTTAAACTCAAGAAAAGTGAAAATATTATTACAGAAAAACGTGTATATCTGATTCATTCATAGCAGGTTTATTCATGATAGCCTCAAATCAGAAACTGCTTTTGTGTCTATCAATAGTGGAATGGATTAAAAACAAAACAAGCAAAGGCCTCAAACCTGTGGTATAGTCATAAAATTGAGTATTACAAAATAAAATTAATGAATAATCAATAGGAGCAAAATGATGTGTCACAAGCATGTTTAGTGAATGAACATAAAATTATATAATGTATAGTTTCACTTATGTAAATGGTGAAAACAGACAAAACTATCCTTTTGTGGAAAGAATCAAAACCATGGAAGCGTCTGTGTTCAAATACTGACTGGAAATGGGCATGAGAAAACGTGTTTCTGCCAGATCTTCTATATGCCTGATGTACATTCACTCGATGTATTTTGCATATACTATTTTTGCAAATAAAACTGAGATAGACGCAAAATAACTCAAGAGAAAATAGCTAGAAATAGCTAGAGTTGGGATAGAAGCCTTGGAAGCTCCCCCCTACCTTGCCCACATGGCACAGGCCAAGGAAGCCCTGGGACAATGCTGTGAGCAATCTGAGGGCCTTCCAGGGGAGCCCCGCCAGCCCATGCTGGTGCCCGAGCTGCCCGCGGCCATCTGAATATGTTGCAAAGACAGTGCTGGCCTGGCAACCGGTGACGCTCCACGCCCCACCCCGATCCCCACTTCTATCCAAGTAGCGGCAACCCTAGAGACAGATGCCTGGGCGGCAGAGGCTAAGTCTGGCAGTTGGCCAGGCTGCCAAAGGACGGGAACTGGCCGTTCACCCCATCCCAGTTTCCACGGAGAACTCAACCACCATGGCCCCTGAGTAGACCCTCAGGCCTGGTGGGCTGTGCTCTGTGCCTGCAAACCTGACGCCATCCAAGGGAGCTCCACTTTCCCGCGCCAGCACCTCAGCTGCTGCAGAAAACTGCAAAACTGCAAGTTGCACACAGGCAGAGATGACGAAGCAACCCCTGACCCTCCGTGCCACTCCCCCTACCCGCACACACAGCTGCCACGCGCACCCTGAGGCCGGTGCCTGGGCACCCAAGTCAGGCAGTCCGCACAGCAGTGGCACCAGGGTGAAAATCTGCTGCTCAATACCATCCCGGTTACCACGAAGAGCCAGCCCCGGCGGCCCCTGCGTTCTTGAAGGAGGCCAAGTCACAGCAACCCCTCAAGTGGGCGGGCGATGCACTTGACCCTGAGGACATCAGGTACCAGGCCCGCCAGCTCACACCATCATCGGAGCCGCAGCTGCAGTCTAGACGTGGTGCACCGGCAGTAAGTGACTGGACAGCCCAGACCAGGCCCACCCCCCAGCAGCGCGGATACTGAGGCCAGACCCCCAGGCAGTAAAATCAGGCGACGGGCCCCGCCAGCAGCCGCTCAGTTTCATCCGTGTGGATAGAGAGTGCCCAGCGCCAGGGCCCAGGATCCAGAGAGATGCCCAAGAGGAGCGGAACTTGAGGCCAGGTGGGCTGTGCGCTCTGCGACCCTGAGGCCATCCAAGGGAAGCTCCGCCATCCCACGCCAGTGCCAGATCTGCAGCTGCAAACCGCGCGTGGGGTACTGGCAGCAGTGAGGGCTGGTGGGGGAAGGAGCAGCCCCTGACTCTGCCTCCATGCCTCTCCAGCTACCTGACACTAGCCACACAGACTCCAGGGCCAGAGCCTCAGCGTGAAGCCGGGCCATCCGCGAAGCCACCCAGGTGGCCGCGGAGTGCTCTTGCCAGCACCCTATCTCCCTTCCGAGGAGGAGCGGGGCGGGCTGCAATGCCAGACAGGCCCTCCTTCTCAGGCCGGGCTGGCGGCGCTCCTGCGATCCTGGGGCCGCCCGGGCGATCCAAAGAGGACCGGCGAGCCCATCGGCGCCCGCCCAGAGCTGCAGCCCCACCTGCCAGCGCGCGCCGCCAGGGAGCGGCTTCCGGGAGCCGGGCAGCAACCGCCATGCAGGCGCGCGCCCAAGGCCTTTGCGAGGCTCACTCGGCCTGAGAGGTCGGAGGCTGCGAGTGTCGCTGCTGAAGGCTGTGGTGGACCGGGCCGGATCGCGGACTGTGGAGTAGATCACAGATTTGGGATCGCGGATTGGGGGTTGATCGCGGATTTGGGGTTGGATCAGGGATTTCGGGTTGGATAGGGGATTTGGGGCTGGGTCGGCCGGGTTCGGGGGAGGGGGTTGGTGAAAAGGTGACAGGGAGGTCGGCCGGGGTCGCGGGAGGGGGGTGGTGAAAAGGTGACAGGGAGCTGCCCCCGCTCAAGAGCCGGAGGTTGGGGGTCTGAGAAGTCACCACTGTGAAGTTATTCGGCTTTGGGAGCCGCAGGGGCCAGACGGCCCAGGGCTCCATAGAACATGTCTACACGGGTTCGGATACCGAATCCGGGACTCCGAACTGCAGAAGATCCACAGGGCAGCTGTCAAGGGCGACGCCGCGGGGGTGGAGCGCTGCCTGGCGCGCAGGAGTGGAGACCTAGACGCCCTGAACAAGCAGCACAGATAGCGGGGGCTCAGCCCAGGGTGGGAGGGGGTCCCCAGGCCCGGCTTCCCCGCAGCCCCTGGGACAGGGCCTTTCAGGGCTCCGGGCACCCTCAGAACGGCGGAGCCAAACGGACTCTCAGCTGTTTTCCATCCCTCATAATTCCCTGGCTGGAGCAGTTGGAGAATTTGAGTGATTTAACTCACAAAGTTAAGCATACACAGTGTTGTTATTTTTAACGTACACGTTGAAAACATGGTTTATATACATTATAGGAGGTGCCTAATGAGAGAACTCATTCCCCTATCAAAAATACCGTGAGTTATTTCAGTAGGCGAAAAGTTCTCAGATAAGAGAGCTTACTTGAAAAATATTTACTATATTATATATATATGTATTTTCAGATGAAAAGTATGTTTTCATTTTATAGGGAATTCATTATATTCTTTTTTTTTTTTTTTTTTTGAGTCAGAGTCTCGCTTCTTTGCCCAGGCTGGTGTCCAACGGCACAATCTTGGCTCACTTCAACCTCTGCCTGCCGGGTTCAAGCAATTCTCCTACCTCAGCCTCCCAAGTAGCTTGGATTACAGGCAGGTGCCAGCGTGCCTGGCTAATTTTTGTATATTTAGTAGAGAGGGGGTTTCACCACGTTGGCCAGGCTGGTCTCGAACTCCTGACCTCAAGTGATCTGCCCGCCTCCGCCTCCCAAAGTGCTGGGATTACAGGTGTGAGCCACCGCGCCCGGCCTATGTTGTTTATTATATATCATAAGTTTTATATATATATATATATATATATATATATATATATATATATATATATCTGATACATATACATATATACCAGATATAATATGTCATATATATCAGTTATATATACACATTAGATGAAAAGTACATTTTCATTTGACAGGGAATTCTTTCAAATCAAATCATCAAACACTCTAAAATTGGGCAAAGTACACTTTTCCAGATCTGCAAGTTACTTGTGTACATAGGAAAAAGTCCTTCGCATTTCTGGTATAAGAATTTAAATTAAAAGAGGAATGAAACAGTTTTCTATCCACAATATTTGTGAGGATGTTTTATACTCCTGCTTAAAGTTTAAGTTGCTGATTATTTTTCAAATAGATAATTTGGTGGTAAGTACTACAATTAAAAAATATGTATGCCCTTTACCCATCAATTCCATTATACTAAAACACCCTCAGGAAATAAAGATACATGCACTTTATTTTTCACCTCACTTATTTTAAAAAGAACCCAAAGAATGGATCCTATAAATAAATTTCAGTTGCATCAACAGGATGGAATAATATGTGACCATTGAAGGTGGCAATAGATACAGAAGTATATTGATGTGCGAAGAGGTATTTTGTTGTAGCTAGTGAGGAAAAAAATCAATTAATTTTAAGTAAAGTTCTTTTCCTTTTTCTTATCTGTGATTGCTGCAGTGAGCATGTACAAAACTTCTAGTAAAATTTATTAATAAAGGAATAATCCTTGGGAAGACAGGAATATGAATCTTACAATATTAAAAATAATTTCTTGCTTTCTATTTTTTATCATTATTGAGTGTATTGTTATCTTCTTTGAACTTTTAGCCTCTTCAGAAGTAAAAAGGGAATGTTTTTATCTGTTTCCAGATTTTATTATCTATATATTTTATTATGTACATATGTTTTTCTTATGTATTCATTCAATTTATGCAAACAATGATAGATTAATCATTTTATTTTAATTGTATTCTTTAAAAATAAAAATAACATTATAAATAATTACTATTGCAAAAATATTGCTTTATAGGAGTTTATTTAAAAATATTGAACTCCCCAACTGTATTTATCCATTCTTTCATTCTATTTATTCATCAAACATAACCTGAGTACCTGTTATGTAGCAGACATATTCTGCTATCTCTCAGGACCCTTCTATCCTTAAAAACTTCATGTTTACCTGCCCTGCCTGCAGAAGCTGAGAGATTTAAAATAGGAATATTGGGACTTAATCTCCTTGAAACTTTGTCTCCCAACTTTCAAACAAAAGCATTTCTGAAGTTAGAAAATAGTAGAAGATAAGCTTAAACTGCCCATTCAAAAGTTTATCAGTCTTAAATACTAATATTAATCATGGGAATGTCTTATTTGCATATATTCTGTAAGCATAAATATTGAATAAAATAAGCCATATGTATTCATTTGAATCATGAGTTTCCTTTGTCTTCAATTTGTTTGAAAATCAAGGAATTAATTTGTTTAAAAAATGCATTATTTCAGTGTTCTATCCCCATAGTACCTTTAAGAACTAAAATGTATTTACATGCCAGTTATATGCCTAGAACTGCCCTAGACCTGCTGCGTACACCATATTCTACTTAATGTAAGGTCTCATGGATTGTGAGATGCCCCGCTATTTTATATATCGATAAGATAATTTTTAAAATGCTACCAATTACAGTTATAATAATATAAGTGACATTCCAATGTCAGAAGTATTAAAATGTGACCTACTCTTTAAGCCATCCTGCAAAGTAGGTATAATTGTGTCTTTTACCTAATTAAAATGTTTTTTTAAGTAGTATTAATAGTAACAATTATAATATCTGGCTGGGTGCAGTGGCTCACACATGTAATCCCAGAACTTTGGGAGGCTGAGGTGAGAGGATTGCTTGGTGCCAGGAGATTGAGACCATCCTGGGCAACAAAGTGAGATTCTTACTCTACAAAAATTTTTAAATAAATAGCTGGGCATGCTGGTGCACATCTGTAGTCCCAGCTACTCAGGAGGCTGGGGAAGGAGGATCGCTTGAGCCCTGGGGTTCCAGGCTGCAGTGAGCTATAGTTACATCGTTGCACTCCAGCCTGGGCAAAAGAGTGAGACTTTGTCTCAAAAAACAAAAATCTTATAATTATTGAGTTATAGGAAGTATTCTAAATACATAACTTCTCATTTAAGCATCATGATGGTGTCCTATGAGATAGCTACTATTGTCATCTTTATTAATGAGGAAGTTGAAATACAGAAAGGCTAAGCAATAGTTGGTAAGTGACAGGGTTTAAAGTAGGACTCAAGCCCTAGTTGAACTGAATCCAAAGACTGAGCTCTTTCTATTCAAATAGGCTGCTGTTTTTATTAAGGCAGTGATCAATAAGAGCTAGTAAGTATTGTGCTTTCTTCAAAAAAATTAAGTATTTGTTTTGAAGGCAGAGGAAAAACATGCTATTCAATTTTTACAGTTACATGAATGATTGTATGTTTTGAGACGTTGCACTACAGTTTCCTAAAAAGTCCTCTTACTCTCATAGAACTGCTCTACATTTGGCCTGTGCCAGTGACCAGGTGAAAGTGGTCACTCTCCTGGTTAGCAGAAAATGCCAGATTGATATCTGTGACAAAGAAAATAGAACGCCTTTGATACAGGTATATTAGAGCCAACTCTTTTATCATGACATGGATTTGATTTGCATACATAGAATTAAAATAAATTGATCTCATTTAAATATAACTAGTTGGTGAAACCTGTGGAATGTTTATTTTGAATTTCTTAGAATTTACAATCTATTTCTTGGTCTAATACAGACAGGCTGTCCATTGCCAGGAAGAGGCTTGCACTGTTATTCTGCTGGAACATGGCACCAATCCAAACCTTAAGGATATCTACCGCAACACTGCTCTCCATTATGCTGTGTATAGTGAGAGCACCTCACTGGCAGAAAAACTGCATTTCCATGGTGCAAATATTGAAGCACTGGACAAGGTATAGATCAATCAACTTTCTTTCCAAAATATTTGTTTTAACATTGACACAGGTAAGGGTCAATTTTTTATATTTGGAAGCTCAACCATTCCCTGAATGCAAATGCAAATTATTTTGAAATAATTGTCTAAGATTTTATTTTAAATATTGATGCTTTTAAAGGTGCATTAAAGGGTACAGTTTTATAAAACGCACTTTGGAAAATACTTGTGAATTTGTTAAAGGTAAAACCTTTTCAACTTTTTTTCTACGCAGGGTTGTTCTTTCCTTTTTTTCCCCCCTAATTAGTACAAAACAACACAGGAAAGAAAATATGCCCTGGAAATAGGTTTTATTTTAAAACTCAAACAAAACTAAAGCAATTTACAATAAGTGGACATGTTGCTGCTGCTGATAATTTTCTAAAAAACTGATGTATCATCTCTCAGTGGCACAAGGCTTAAGAGGGAAAAATGGGAAGGGAAAAGGAGAGCAATCAGAAATTTGCAGGTCACTTGGAAATTAGGTAATGAGGGAAAATGTCAAGAAGAGTTTTTTTTTTTCTTCTCTTAGTTTGTTATTCTTCCAGTTTATGTGTTGAGACAAGGTGCTCCTTAGCTTTGGGTCTAATAATTTTTGGTTTGAAAATGAGAGTGAGTTGAAACTTGCCTAGAGATTAATTTTAAGAAGACTTTGAGGAAACCAGATTGGCAGTGAATAGGTGGTGATGAAGTGAGAAACACTTCAGCAGAAGGTGGAACAAATTATTAACTGACTTATTGCCCATCCTGGCAGAAACAGCCACTTAGATAAGAGTCTAAAGCCTCCTCTCAAACCTAGAATGTCTTGGTGGGAAGGTGGGAGATAAGGAGCTTATAAATAGCAAAATCAAGTTGGATTTTGAGTTTACTTGTCTGTGTTCTACCCATAGCCAGGAAATTTAACTGGAGCTTTAATAAATGACACTATCTCTTACTCTTTTCTCCTTTTGGTCACATGTCCAACTGATAAAGGGAATTAGCCATGCGGGTGAGAGATGAGACTGAAGTGATTGTCTGCTGCACTAATTCTCAGAATTGTGCATTACGGTGACCTGAGGACATTTTGTTAAAAATCTACAATTGTAGGCTTTCCCCTGAGGATTTTGATGTAATAGACCTAATAAGGACTGAACATTTTTAAAAACATTTTCTTGAAGGTGGGCACAGTGACATGTTCCTGTAGTCCCAGCTTGAACCTGAGTTTAAGTTCAGCTTGAGCAACATAGTGAGACTCTTGCCTCTAACAACAATAACAGCAAAAAAAAAAAAAAAAAAACCCTCAAGTTTCGGATACACTCCTGATTAAGAACCCCAGAATAGATAAGTGCAACATATAAATTTCTGTATCTCAAAAACGTAAGAAATGTCTAGAAGAATTGGTGTTTGATAGGTGCTACTTCATTCAAAGTTCTCCTTTTCAGTAATATTAGCCTGACTTATCTGTCTTTCTCTACATCTGTGACTGGGAAGTGAAAGGAAATATTACTGGCAATATCTCTCAGCTTACAGAATAACACCCTTTTCCTTCCCACCGTTAATCCTTCACTAACATTCAGGGAGTCTTTAGCAATTTGCTTATGGGTAATCTTTCAATAAGTAGAGGCTGACCCTTTCATGATTTCATGTCCCTTTGTCACCATGCACGTGATTATGTGTCAACAAATGTTCATTACAAGTTTGGCTTTCTCAATTAGAATAGTAGCAAATCCTAAACTATTTTTTTTAGTTGAAGTTGTATTATGAACTAGCTCAGTGTGTTTGTGAAGTTTATAGAGCTTTAGCATACCCAAAATGTCAGTTTTAAACACTGAAGTCCATGGAGTTAATAAAAATACAGATATGAATTCTTTTAATAATTTAGTTTTGGCAGTCCTATGAACCAGTTATCTATTTGGTTAACAATCTGGGAAAATTATATACAAATATATTTTAAATGAATAAATGTTGGAAAAATTCTTGAAGCAGGTATTATGAGTCTTTTGTAGCAATTTTTATTATATATGAGAGCCTGATTTTTTGGTAAAACATGATACTAGAGAAAGAAAATATTTTACATGCAAATACTTGGATTATACACAACCATTTAGTAACACATTAATGGCGAATATAAAAACACAAGGGCTATATTCTAATGTGGTACACAGATTTGTTTGTTTGCCTCTATAAGTTGAATCAACATGTAAAATTTAGAAGACTGGTGTAGAAATCTGGACTTCAGGCTTATTCTAAAAAATCAAATCTGCTGTCCCCTGAGTTTCTATCACTATTTGGTCTGCTGTGCAGAGGTTGCCCCTTTAGAGAATGCATGTATTCTCCAGTTTGCTACTGTGCCCACCTTAGTACTTCCTTTACTCAGGCAACCTTCCTTTGTCCTTGTAAGTATCTGAGTTTACAACTCCTATGTTATAGTATATTTTGATAGAGATTTCAAGGTTTTTAAGTCAGCACGTATTTGTTATAATATATAGTCTATATAGTATATAAATCCCTCAGTTATGGAGTTTAATTTTAGAATTTAGAAGTTTTGAAACTCTTTTCTTTATATATACCACAAATAATTATCTGCCCATAAGAATGCCTAGAAGCCTTTTTAGGTTATTCCTGGTTATAGTTGGATAATTTATGAATATTGCAGACATTACATCTTTCTCCTCAGGGCTCTTCCTTAGAAATGCCAGTGACTTACTGGCTTTTGTTATGCCGGAAATAATTCATATGGATCAGTATGAGAACTTTTATTGATAAGCCATTATGTTTTTATTTCTGATTTATATTTTCTCTAAAATAAAAAATAATTTTAAGTAGCCCTTTAAGTGGAAGCCAATAAAAATGGATTTAAAAAGTAGAGCTGCCCTGAGGTCCTGGGATTACCATTATAATTGAGAATGGTATTTCTTACTGAGCTTTGGTTTTTTAAATATTTGTTCTTAAGTTTTTTAAACCTATTTCTCTTACACAGAACATACTGAGCTTTCTAACAGTAAAGATAAAAATCTGTTCTCTTGTATTAGGGAAAAAACCCATGGACTATTTAATAATAAGGAAAATAAGTGCATTTGAAGCCAATCTCTCCTAATTCAGAGTTCATTTCCATAGTGACCCATTTGGAGCAGGAGTGCTTGACATTGGCATCTGTGATCCTGACAGCATTGATAGAAGTGAATCAAGCAAGTTTGTACCACCCAGAAGAAACCTCCACCTGCATTGGGAAACTCTGGCAACTGTACCCCTAAACCTCTTAATTCCTCAAATGTTAATGTTTGCCACAAATAATATTGTCAAATGGAGATTAGGTAAAATTCAATAGATTTCTTGATTATTGGACATAACATACAGTTTTATAATACTTCTCAAATGCAGATGGTCATGGAGTCTTTCTCTTGGGGTATAATACTTCTGGTAAAGCAAATATTCTTTGGAATATAGTTTAAGAAACACTGCTTTAGTGAGAATAATTTAGATCATTAATTTATGTAAAAAAACTTAAAATGTTTGCTACTATGTCTTCGGGTTTTGGGGCTATAGAGACAAAAGATACAGCCCTTGCCTCAAGAAGCTCTTGGTTTCAGTGGGAAACAGTGAAATTATTACAATGTACCATGCTAAGTACTGTGATCAAAGCAAGGATTCTTGGGACTGGTAAACCTTTAAAGTGAGTTTTGGCAATGACCACAGTTAATCCGGGGAGACGGAGGAGGATTGTTGCAAGGCAAAGCGCAGCACATCAGAAAGCACAGAGGAGTGAGAAGGAAGCGGCTGCTTTTCATTTACTTCCTTTCTATATTGTATGTTGAAGTTCAAATCATCCCAGAGAAGATTTTCTGTTCAGTTGAGAAATATGTAATTTTGTGAATTATTAATTTTTTTGTGCTGTTTCATGGGACAATAATATCCCACTTTTATTCACCATAATTTGCAAGAAAGAGAAAATGGTGGAATTTTTATTGAAAACCAAAGCAAGTACACATGCTGTGGATAGGCTGAGATGGTACAGTCGTTCTTTTTTTAAAAATAAAACCTGAGTATTCTAGAGTGGTAACAGTCACTCAAGTCAGAAATATTAATAAGAAGATTAACATAATTATTGGCATATAATGAAAAATATCACCACGAATAATCAGGTAGACCAGCAAATATTTGGACTGAGTAACATAAAGAATAGTATATAGTAGGATTCATCTTCTCTTATAATATAGAGTGTTTGGTATTTATGATCAGATGTTTTTGGTACTGTAATCTTTTATTAGCTAAAGGGTTTTGTATTAGTTTTATTATTTTTTTTTTTGAGATGGAGTCTTGCTCTGTTGCCAGGCTGGAGTGCAGTGGTGTAATCTTGGCTCACTGCATCCTCCACCTCCCAGGTTCAAGCGACTCTCCTGCCTCAGCCTCCCTAGTAGCTGGGACTACAGGTGCACGTCACCATGCCCAGTTAATTTTTGTATTTTTAGTAGAGATGGGATTTCACCATGTTGGCCAGGATTGTCTCGATCTCTTGACCTCGTGATCTGCTCTCCTTGGCTTCCCAAAGTGCTGGGATTACAGGCATGAGCCACTGCACCTGACCAGTTTTATTAATTTTTAAAGTGTGGACTTTTCATTTATGACTACTAGTATTGTCATTATTATTATTGTCATTGTTGTTGTTGTTGTTTTCAGCCTGCAGATAACTCTTATCTGACCCCTAGCTGATTGGACTGGGAAAGGAATGGGGAAATCTTCATCTAAGTCTTTGCCTACTTTACATAAGTGACCTCAGCACAGTTTCTTGGCCATCAAAGGACTATAAGTTAGCAACTTGTATTATGTCTTACCTCAGTGGGACAAGAGGCTTCCCTGTTGTCCCTTTCTTTTAGCCTTGGTGACAATTTTCAAAGATGAACACTTGAGCACCCTAGATGCTTATAGACCCAAGCTAGTACATGCAAATGGTTATTACATCTATACTGACAGGAGGATACTAAACTGGTAAAGTGTATCAAACTAGCTTTTGATATTAAAGTTCTTGAGTGGGGTTATTTCTTTGTTATTTTAGGTCAGCCCTCATGATTGCTATACACTATGACTCACCAGGTATTGTCAATATCCTTCTTAAGCAAAATATTGATGTCTTCACTAAAGACGTGTGGACGAGATGCAGAAGATTACACTATTTCTCATCATTTGACAAAGTAAGTGTTTATGTTAAAAGGCCAGTTGATACTAAATTGAAGTTTAAAATAATTGCAACTACTCCATCTTACACATTAGGTGAGAGTTCATAGTTTGGTTCAGATAGTTTGAAATAGCCATGAGTTAGTCTCCCTTTTAGCCAGAAATCAAGCAGAAGTCTAGATTAGTTAGAAGTAGAGTGCAAGATTTTTTCTGGATTTTTGAGACCTTTATCCCTAGGGATCTCAATGTTGTTCATTTTATTCTAAGTATAATCCCCATGCATTGGATAAAAAGAGCCACATCTTTGATTTCTTTTCCTTTCCTTTCTTTTTTTTTTTTTTTTTTTTTTTTTTTTTTAGAGACAAGGTCTCACTCTGTTGTCATGGCTGGTCTTGAACTCCTGAGCTCAAGTAATCCCCCTGGCTCGGCCTCTGAAAGTGCTAGCCACCATGCCTGGTCTAACTTTTCTAATTAGTTATTGAGTCTTGTAATGTCCAATTTAGCAGAAAATCTTGTATTTTCCCCTGGGGCTCTCTCCTGTGTCTTCCTTCTTTGAATTTTCCAAGAAGCTAAGGGGTTTCCTAAGTCCAAGGAAGGCAATCTTTCTTTGCAAGTCAGAAGAAAGGGAAAAAAAAAGGGGCATTCTAATCATTCTGTTGTTTCCATGGCATCACTTGCTGTATTATTGCCATTGTAACCGGACCTGCAATCTGATAATGATTGACCTTTGTCACCAGGATGCCTTCACTGATTCAGACCTCTCAGTTTTCATGGTGATTCATATATACAGGTCAAAGCTACGGTGTTTATTAGTTTATGTACTTGTGCTCAGTTATTTTTCCCAGCACCCTGCTCTGGTAGCTAGGCCTCCTAGCTTTATCCACACAAATATTGAGCAAATTGATGCTCATCCTACACTAAAAACCTTATTTGGAGTCCACCTCTTAGCTAGACTTTGCCTAGGCCTTCATGGGATGTTATCCTTTGAGAGCCATGCTTGTCTTTCCTTTAACCAATATTAGTTGGGATTGTTCTCAATAGTCAGGGATGTTCAAATAATGCTGCAGGAAGAGATCAGAGTTCCCTTTTCCTTTTGCTATCAGATCTGTACCTTGAGGCTTTTTTATATCCTGTGCAGCAGCTTTGGTTAGATAGCAGAATGTTCCATGTTATCTTTCCACTGAGTAGTGGGAACCAGCTTGCAGTTGGTGCCTCAAGTAATGTGTCTCTATAATCATGAAAATCTCCTGGGCTACTTGCAGCTCTTCCTCAAGTTTTCAATATATTTTAAAATTCTACCTCACAGGAAGCCATTCAATAAAATTCTCTGAATCTGAAGTAAGTGAGTTGGATTTAACAGAGCTAAGCCTCATCCATGACTCATGAGTATCCATGTATCAAACAGGGCTTTGTAATTATTTTAACAGCACATATTTTAAATTGGATCAATACAGAGCAGATAAGCATGGCTACTGCCTAGGGATGGCACACAAATTCAGAAAGCATTCCATATTTTGCATAGTCCCAGGAGGGCCATTTGACTATTTGTTGAGTAGCTCCAAGGAAGCAGTGTGAGGAAAACCAAAACAGGTGACATGCAATATTGAAATTGTGATTATCACTGTGAAACTATTGATGTACGGTGATCTCTGAAATGGGAACAGAGCTGAGTAATAAGGGGATGTTACATGTTGTTAGTACATGTCTTGGAAATGAGAAAATGTCAACTTGCATTTCCTTCATGGAACTGAAAAACAATCAAAACAGGGTTTTGTCTTGTCTGTTAGTTGGAGAGGACCATGGAGATCCAGCAGCCAAGCACAAATCTGCTGGCTCAGAGTTTGAGGAGGTAGAGAAGGAGTGGTAGTTGTCCAAGCCAGGTTTTGACACCTATTAGTTTTCTGCCCTTGGTGTGATTGATGAGTTCAATGATGAGCTCATTAAATTTATATATATATATATATATATATATATATATATATATATATATATATATATATATATAAATTTAGTAATAAGTTATGAAATAGGTAAAATGCCCTGAATTACAAGCCACAATGAATGCAAGTAATAACCAAAATTAGCACTTAATAACATTTTCTGAAAACTGCAACATTTGAATATTAGAACTTATAGAAAAACACACACGGAGCACTATTTGGGATTCCAAAATTATTTCAGCAATAAGGTTCAAGAATAAATTATTCCATTGCTTTACTATTTCTCTGAACATTTAAACATGTAATCTCATTAGATCTTCTAAACAACCTAGTGAAGTAAGGTAGCAGAATCCTTATTTTTTAGAAGAAACCATGGAGCCTAAGAGAAACAACTTGTCTGAAAACAAATTACCTACAGAGCGAGGTATTTTGGTTACAGAGTGAGGACTTACTCTGAGTGCAGGACAGTTTGCATGATATCCAGCTAACTAGAGTTAATTTACTGAGCTGTGCTTCCTCCATTTATGAGTACTTCACTTTCTTTTCTTCTTTAATTATAAGCTTAATAAGCTTGTAAGGTTTAAAAATTTGAAGTGTATGGGACATTAAAATTCTGATATTAGGTCTGATATTGCCTGAAATGGTTTTGGAATTTAATATGTTTGGTAAATATTTTTTATTTCAGTATTAAAATAGCAATTTTATTTATTACTTTTGTATATGTAGAATTCAACAACAAATTTTGGAACGTAAAAAGAAGATACTTAAAAAGGAGAAACGAGGTAAGGCTTCTGAGAGTGAATTTCTTAATTCTCTTGGTGGTCCTACTCTTGATAAGAAAATAAGAAGTAAGACATAAGATTAAGGTAGTGTCAGTCAAAAAAGACCAGTTTAAAAATATGTGTAAATTGAATGTGTATATATGTATATACGTATGTAAATTAATTTTTTAAATTTAACTTCTTTAGTTTGAAATTCAGATTTATTTAAGAAGGTAGTTGTAGCTAATTTATAATCTCAAACATTATGGTCTACAAACATTCATTTATTTAATTATCATCCCTAAAACCCTACATAATATTTTTGCATAAATAAGAACAAACATTTTTAAGTTAATATGTTGTATGTTTCCTCTATAGTCACATTATAACAAATTGGACTTGTTATACAAAGGGATCTCCTATTTCATTTTTATAATAAATTGTTTACATTTAGTAAACAATAACTACAGTTGACCCATGAATAATGTGGGGGTAAGGGACCCTGATCCCTGTGCAGTTGAAAATCCGAGTATAACTTTTGATTCCTTCACCTTAGCTACTAATAGCCCACCATTGACTGGAAGCCTTCCTGATAACATAAACAGTTAATGAACACCTATTTTATTTGTGCTGGATTATGATATACTGTGTTCGTACAATAAAATAAGCTAGAGAAATGAAGCTGTTAGAAAGGAAATCATCAGGAAAAACATATTGACTTTTCATAAAGCATTAGTAGATCCTGGCAAAGGTCTTTATGATCTTCAGGTTGATTAGGCTGAGGAGGAAGAGGAGAGGTGGATCTTGCTGTCTCTGCATTGCAGAGGCAGAAGAAAGTCTGCATATAGGTGAATCCCTGCAGTTGAAACCCTTGCTGTTCAAGGGTGAACTGTATTACATATTGATTTGTGTCACTAAGAAAGTAACTGTCTTTAGAACCAGGAACTCAGCAATCCCTTTCGGGTACCATAAATAAATGGCAATAAGAGCTGTAGAACTGAACCAGTGTGCACCCATACAAATAGGAGATTATTTTTTTAAGATAGCTACTGAGCACAGAAGATGGAAAAGCAATTCCTTCATGAGAAGCACAAGTTATATTACATATTCTTACAGAAGCAAAATGATTTTATCTGTCATAGTTTACATACGTACACATACACACACGCACATGTGCACACACGTGTGCACACAGGCACAAAGTTAAAAGTCCTGCTGATTCTTAATGACCAAATCCAACTGTTCATAGAGAGCGGTGGATAACACATCCTACTGTTTGGATGCAATTCTTTTGACTTTTTGACTTGTTTTGCCATGAACTGCCTTTAATGGGTCTAAATCATGTTTTTAGTTTTATGAGAAACAAAGAAAAAGATTAGAAGCAAGTAAACAGGAACTCTATGGTCAGTAGTAGACTATAATAGTATATTCAATAATCATATGTTTTTCTCCAGTTATACAATTTACTTGAATGATGCACAATTAATCAATTATTATTATCATAGGAGATGGGGTCTCTCTATGTTGCCTAGGCTAGAATACAGTGTCTGTTCATTGGTGCAATCATAGCTCACTGTAGCCTTGAACTCCTAGGCTCAAGCAGTCCTCCTACCTCATCCTCCTGAGTAGCTGAGACTACAGTTTTGTGTGGTTACATCTGGCTTGATACACAATTATTTATTTGTTTATTTATTTTTGATACAGGGTCTCCCTCTGTTTCCAGTACTGGCATGCAGTGGTGCCATCTTGGCTCACTGTAACTTCTGCTTCCTGGCCTTAAATGATCCTTTCACCTTAGCCTCCCAAGTAGCTGCGACTACAGGCATGCACTACCACACTTGGCTAAGTTTCTTTTTAAGGGTTTTTTTTGTTTTGTTTTGTTTTTGTTTGTTTGTTTAATAGATGAGGTCTCACTGTATTGCTGAGGCTGGTCTGGAACTTCTGGTCTCAAGTGATCCTCCTGCCTCAACCTCCCAAAATGCTTGGATTTACAAGTTTGAGCCACTGCACCTGGCCTGCACGATTATTATAATAAGGAATGAAGCCCAGTTGAGTTGCAGAAAATTGACTTTTTCATTTTTTTCTAAAAACATTCATATTGTAGAACATATTGTCAATCACCCAGATTCTCTATTTTTTATTCAGTTAAAAGAGGATTGCTGCTTATTTCACATTATTTTCTGACATTATTGTTTCATTTATTCGTTTTATGGTTTTGTTCAATTGGATAGATATATAAATACAAGAATCTCCAAGTCAAATATCAAGGGAAAAAAAGAAAAGAAAAACAGATTAGGGAAAGTTATTCTGTGAAATAACCATCTGATTACAGTTACATGTATCATATCGACTTAATACAAATCTTACACAATGCATCGTTTCAAGGTTTCCCAAGACCACCCCAGGTTTGGTGGTTCATTAGAAGGACTCATAGGACTCAGCAAATAGTCATACTCATATGTTTTATTTATTTATTTATTTATTTATTTATTTATTTATTTATTTATTTTTTATTATTATACTTTAAGTTTTAGGGTACATGTGCACATTGTGCAGGTTAGTTACATACGTATACTTGTGCCAGTCTGGTGCGCTGCACCCACTAACTCGTCATCTAGCATTAGGTATATCTCCCAATGCTATCCCTCCCCCCTCCCCCCACCCCACAACAGTCCCCAGAGTGTGATGCTCCCCTTCCTGTGTCCATGTTATCTCATTGTTCAGTTCCCACCTATGAGTGAGAATATGCGGTGTTTGGTTTTTTGTTCTTGCGATAGTTGACAAATGGGATCTAATTAAACTAAAGAGCTTCTGCACAACAAAAGAAACTACCATCAGAGTGAACAGATCTTTAATTGATAACAAGAAAGGGGACAAGCAAAATTAGTAGAGGAAAAAGTTGCATGTGGTCAATTCCGGAGGAAACGAGGCACAAGCTTCCAGGAGTTCTGTCCTGTGGAGTTCCCAGGATCTGCTTAATTCTCCCAGGCTCACATTTTGACAACATATGTGCAGCGATGTCTACCAGTACCAGAGTCTCGTTAGAGACTAAGTGTCTAAGTTTTTCTATGGAGGTTACTCTCCCTCACATGTACCCAAATTCCAGACTCTTATAAGGAAAGCAGCTGTTCAGAGTAAACACACGGTTTTTATAAACACTTTAGACACAGTGAGCCACTCTTCTCAGGGAATGCTGGAAACCCTCCCAATTCCAATTTCCTAAACAGCAGCCAAGGGCCAGCCTTTCATGCAAGCCTTTCTAAGTATGGCAGTCTCTTGCCTGTTACATGAAATCTTTTCTGCACACTTTGTATAGCCCCAACTTAATTTTTGGCGTTGTTTTAACATTTCATTTTAATAACATAATATTATAAGATAAGGTAACTTGGTACTAATTTCTGTTGTATGATCCATCTTAAGTTGCAGTGCTGGTTACTTTTTTGACTTTTGGTGATGAACAGCTATTTATATATAAGTTACCATAGCAATGTCAGGTAATTATTATCTGTCCTATTTATCTCATTTACCTTTCAGTAAAATTGTTAAATTAAATAAGCAAAATAATTTCTGAGTTAAAATTAGAATAAAAATTGTCTTTTATTTGGATTACATGAATAATCTAGTTTTCATATTGTGCTAAATCCCTGCTTAGAATTATGAAATAAGATAAAATGTTCAATCATTTTTATCAATATTTTCTTACCTAAGCATGCAATTACATTTATTTATTTTATATATTTTATATACTTTGATTTGAGAAATAATGACCACATGTTGTTACTTTGGTCTTCAATAATCTCTAATTTTTAGGGTCACCGTGTCTTGCTTAAATATATCATAGTAACAGGTTCAGTAAATATCTTTATGTTTTATTTTATTTACTTATTTTTTTTGAGACAGAGTTTTGCTCTTGTTGCCCAGGCTGCAGTGCAATGATACAATCTTGGCTCATTGCAACCTCCACCTCCCAGGTTCAAATGACGCCCCTGCCTCAGCCTCCCAGGTACCTGGAACTACAGGTATGCACCATCATGCCCTGCTAATTTTTTATATTCAGTAGAGATGGGGTTTCACCATGTTAGTCAGGCTGGTCTAGAACTCCTGACCTCAGGTGATCCACCCACCTCGACCTCTCAAAGTGCTGGGATTACAGGCATGAGCTACTGACTCCAGCCATCTTTTTTATTTATTTATTTTAATTGTTGTTCTGGAGATCCTGGGATGCATAGACAGTGAATATCTCTTTTTAATTTTTTTGAGATGGAGTCTCACTCTGTCTCCCAGGCTGCAGTGCAGTGGTGTGATCTCAGTTAACTGTGACCTCCGTCTTCTAGGCTCAAGCGATTCTCCTGCCTCAGTCTCCCGAGTAGCTGAAATTACAGGTGCCAGCCACCATGCCCAGCTAATTTTTGTACTTTTATTAGAGATGAGGTTTTGCCATGTTGGCCAGGCTGGTCTTGAACTCCTGACCTCAGGTGATCCACCCACCTTTGCCTCCCAAAGTGCTGAGATTACAGGCATGAGCCACTGAGCCCAGCTGAATATCTTTTTTAAATCAATATCCTTATTTCTTAGAGCAGTTTTAGGTTCACAGCAAAATTGAGAGGAAGGTACAGAGATTTCTCATATATCCCATGCCTCCCACACACGCATAGCCTCCCCCATTATTAGTATTTTCCACCACAGAGTGGTCCATTTGTTACAACTGATGAACTTACATTGACACGTTATAATCACTCAAAGTTCATAATTTACATCAGGCCTCACTCTTGATGCTGTACATTCTGTGAATTTGGACAAATATATAATGACGTGACATGTATCTATTACTGTAATATTATCGACAGAACAGTTTCACTGCCCTAAAAATTATACTATGCCTGTTCATCTCTCCCTTACTCCCTAGCAACTTGTGGCAACCATTGATGTTTAATCTGTCTTCATAGTTTTACTTTTTTCAGAAGAGTCATATAGTTGAAATAAGAAGAGTGGATATCTTTTTGAATAGTTAAAAAATTAAAGCTCCATGGCAGTTGAATGTAGTCATTTAAGATGTTCTTTGTCCTTTTGCTTTTCTTTTGCTTCTTTATCATTGTAAAGAATGGTGTATTCTGATGAGATACGATTTACATACTTAGAAAACATGATTTGTATAGATATGTGGCACATAATAGAAAGGGATGAGGAAAAGGACACCACACCGTACCACACAGCACAACCTGCAGCATCTTGCTCTGTGAGGTGGGTCCAGATAGACTCTCTAGCAATGGAAGGGGACAAGTGCAAAGGGTTGTACTTTATAAAACTGGAATCACAAAGTCTTTCATACTTACCTTCGGTTGGAAATAAGACCAGGCAGTGAATGCTATTAGGTAAATACATAAGTTCCTCACTGATCCTCTTCCTTTGAGGGATGAGGTTGACAACAGCCTGTATTATGATGACATGACTCACCTACAACTAGATTCTGTCATAAGGGATGACAAGGGAGTTTTGCTTTATGCGAGGTGAAAAAAATTTTTTTTCCTACTAGGGAGAAGGGCAAGCATTAGAACATTCTGGTAGTAAAAGGGCATTGATAGTTTTCTTTCTATATATTTTTTCACATCAGATAATACTGCCCGGCACCCTGCCATACCTCCCCAGTGTTTATTCAGCTTCTCTCTGAATGTGGATAAGCTCTTAAAGGAGTGATCTTTCCAGTGGTTCTTTCTGTGGGAGGTAAAATGGCAGGTGAATTTGGGCCTTGTTATACTTAGGCCAGAGCAAATATCTACAACTAAGGAAACCACCCAGCAACTTCCCCAGAAGAGTATTAGCCAGAGTAACACACTGATCTCCCTCGAGATCTTCTCCACTGGTGGCTGGAAAGTCTTTGCAAGGATTCCTGTTTCTGGTCTGATTCCTATGTTTTGTTGGTTTCTGGTGATAGCGCATTTTATTCTAAACTAAACAGTTTGAACTGAAGAACTAGAGAGGCTGTGTTATGTTATAACAAAATAAGTGCAGTAGCTATACCTTAACTGTGGGAGATACATTCCAAGACCCCCAGTGGAAGCATGAAACCATGAATAGTACTGAATCATAAGCTGTTTTTCCCTATACATACATATCTATGACAAAGTTTAATTTATAAATTAAATTAAATCTGATGTTATCTGTAGATAGGGTGTGAGAATTGAATTGTGTCATCAGCAGAAATGATTGCTTGTTTGTTGGTGGGGAAAAACTCTCCACACATTTGGTCACAGAAGCCTTCTTTGTTGATGATTGTTGCTGTGGTGTGACAGCAGAGAAAAACTTGTCAAGTATGTCTTTCTGTGCATATAGTGGATAAGGGGTACTACTGTATACTCTGCTGTAATGGCCCCTCATATTTTGGTCCAGAAATCATGCTCTTTGACACTGTTGACTCATCACACCTGTTCTGCTAACAATACCATTTTTACCCAATCTCATAGGGTTTGGCTAGGATGACTTCTATACTGCAGTTCACTTGTAGATACCAAATTTTAATAAATTTATTCTTCTTTGCATCTAATAAATACAAAGGGAAGAGTTCTTACTGCATTAATTACCTATCAATAAGTATGATGAATGTTAATTCTAATAAGTTCGCAGGCATGCTCCCAAAGGAATGCTTTGTAACAAAGCATCCGTCTTATGCTTTAAATAACCAAACCAAACCAAAACAAAAACAACAACAACAACAACAAAAAAAACAGGATCTAAAGCATACACACAATTGTGCACAATTTTTTTTATGAAGGTAGAGTTTTATTATGTTTCCCAAGCTGGTCTCAAACTTCTGGGCTCCTCAAGTGATCCTCCTGCCTCATCCTCTCAAGTAGTTTGGATTAGAGGCATGCATCACTGTGCATTCTTATGCTTTTAATATTCTGTACATTTATTATTGATTTAAAATGCATTTTACCTTCTTCTTTAATAGATGTTGAAATTTCTGATGAATCTGCAGTCAGGTAAGATTTCATAGATTTAAAAAATTATGTGAACTAAGAAAATATAGATGAAGGAAATAAAGGGTATTCAATTAGGAAAAGAGGAAGTCAAATTGTCCCTGTTTGCAGATGACATGATTGTATATCTAGAAAACCCCATTGTCTCAGCCCAAAATCTCCTTAAGCTGATAAGCACTTCAGCAAAGTCTCAGGATACAAAATCAATGTACAAAAATCACAAGCATTCTTATACACCAACAACAGACAAACAGAGAGCCAAATCATGAGTGAACTCCCATTCACAATTGCTTCAAAGAGAATAAAATACCTAGGAATCCAACTTAAAAGGGATGTGAAGGACCTCTTCAAGGAGAACTACAAACCACTGCTCAAGGAAATAAAAGAGGATACAAACAAATGGAAGAATTTCCATGCTCATGGGTAGGAAGAATCAATATTGTGAAAATGGCCATACTGCCCAAGGTAATTTACAGATTCAATGCCATCCCCATCAAGCTACCAATGACTTTCTTCACAGAATTGGAAAAAACTACTTTAAAGTTCATATGGAACCAAAAAAGAGCCCGCATCACCAAGTCAATCCTAAGCCAAAAGAACAAAGCTGGAGGCATCACACTACCTGACTTCAAACTTTACTACAAGGCTACAGTAACCAAAACAGCATGGTACTGGTACCAAAACAGAGATATAGATCAATGGAACAGAACAGAGCCCTCAGAAATAACGCCGCATACCTACAACTGTCTGATCCTTGACAAACCTGAGAAAAACAAGAAATGGGGAAAGGATTCCCTATTTAATAAATGGTGCTGGGAAAACTGGCTAGCCATATGTAGAAAGCTGAAACTGGATCCCTTCCTTACACCTTATACAAAAATCAATTCAAGATGGATTAAAGATTTAAACGTTAGACCTAAAACCATAAAAACCCTAGAAGAAAACCTAGGCATTACCATTCAGGACATAGGCATGGGCAAGGACTTCATGTCCAAAACACCAAAAGCAATGGCAACAAAAGCCAAAATTGACAAATGGGATCTAATTAAACTCAAGAGCTTCTGCACAGCAAAAGTAACTACCATCAGAGTGAACAGGCAACCTAGAACATAGGAGAAAATTTTCGCAACCTACTCATCTGACAAAGGGCTAATATCCAGAGTCTACAATGAACTCAAACAAATTTACAAGAAAAAAACAAACAACCCCATCAAAAAGTGGGCGAAGGACATGAAAAGACACTTCTCAAAAGAAGACATTTATGCAGCCAAAAAACACATGAAAAAATGCTCATCATCACTGGCCATCAGAGAAATGCAAATCAAAACCACAATGAGATACCATCTCACACCAGTTAGAATGGCAATCATTAAAAAGTCAGGAAACAACAGGTGCTGGAGAGGATGTGGAGAAATAGAAACACTTTTACATTGTTGGTGGGACTGTAAACTAGTTCAACCATTGTGGAAGTCAGTGTGGCGATTCCTCAGAGATCTAGAACTAGAAATACCATTTGACCCAGCCATCCCATTACTGGATATATACCCAAATGACTATAAATCATGCTGCTATAAAGACACATGCACTCGTATGTTTATTGCGGCATTATTCACAATAGCAAAGACTTGGAACCAACCCAAATGTCCAACAATGATAGACTGGATTAAGAAAATGTGGCACATATACACCATGGAATACTATGCAGCCATAAAAAATGATGAGTTCATGTCCTTTGTAGGGACATGGATGAAATTGGAAATCATCATTCTCAGTAAACTGTCGCAAGAACAAAAAACCAAACACCGCATAGTCTCACTCATAGGTGGGAATTGAACAATGAGATCACATGGACACAGGAAGGGGAACATCACACTCTGGGGACTGTGGTGGGGTTGGGGGAGGGGGGAGGGATAGCATTGGGAGATATACCTAGTGCTGGATGACGAGTTAGTGGGTGCAGTGCACCAGCATGGCACATGTATACATATGTAACTAACCTGCACAATGTGCACATGTACCCTAAAACTTAAAGTATAATAAAAGAAAAAAAAAAGAAAATATAGATGGAAGAAACTAATATCTGTTGAGTGTTGTATTCTGGGCTAGACATCCTAATATGTTCTATGCATTTATCATCTCATAAAGCCATCATAACATCTGTGTTCCTATAACCTACTTTTAAATAAACAACTATGGATTAGAGCTGATTAATTGCCTCATGATCCCATAGTTAACAAAGTAGCTGGCCTACAGTTTGACCATCAGCCTACCTGCCTTCCAAATCCTTTCTCTTGCTCCTCAGCATAGATTGATAGATATCTGTGCAGCCCTTGGATCAAGGTATAGGTCTGAATCAGATTAATCAGATTCATTAATTTGATGAATGTATAAGTTAATGAGAGTTTAAATACCTTGAACTCTCATTTAAGTTTATTGTTAGGATGTGGTTAGTCCTAATAAATTTGAAGATTTCAGTGGTAGCCAGTGTTTTGTTTTTACCATCAAAGGCTCTAGGGCAGATCTGACTTAGCTTTGACCACAGGACTGTAAGTTTTACCAAAGCAAGTTGAGGCAAGTCTTAGAGACAAATTATTTGACTACCCAGTTTGGTTTTCCATTTAGGCAAGTATTTCTGCTTACTTCCATAATACATTTTTTAGTCTTGTTGCTTTTTCCATGACTTTTCTATAATCTTGTCTTCATTTTATAAAACTTTCTTCTCTGCTTTTCTTGGTGTTTCTTTTGTTCTATTATTTTTTCAAACTCTGCTGGCTATGTATTCCAAGTTTTTCTATAGACAGAATCAAGAGGACATAGAATTACAGGATTTTAAGGAATCTTGGAATGAATTAAAATACCTTCTAGTATTTTTACCTGTGTTGAACATTCTGGTCAAGTGATTCTCTAGATACAGAATGTGAGGCTCAAAAAGATTAGGATGCTTTTTTTTTAGACATAGGAATTGGCAGAAATGAGATTTGAACTCATGGTAAAGCCCAGTACTCTTGCTTCTTTTTATGTCCTATTGGCGTGTGTTTTAATAATACAACCGGGAGTGAGTCTGCGGATAGAATGAGAATGGAATTAGCTGGTGAACCAAATGGAAGTAGATAAGAATGGAATGAGCAGGGGAAGTCCAAGTTTGAAGATAAACAACACTGGATTGGATAGGAGTATGGACTCTCCTATAAGAGATCAAAGTATTGGGGTTTATGACAAGTTTGATAAAGATGAATTATAAAAAGAAGGACACAAGATGTTGGGAATTATCTACAAAGGCACATTAAAATAGAAGGTTCAAGGGAGCTCGAAAAAGTTTGCTGATTTTTTTAAAATCAAGGACTGACAAACTTGAAGATTTTACTGAAAGATGCTAAAACATTTTGAGACACTGGAAGGAGTGTCTACAGCAGATAGAAATGTGGTGTCATCTACTTCCATCCTGACTTACAAAGGGGTGGCTTAGAGCCCCTGGAGTACTAAGGGGCTGGAGATTGCTGAACTACATAGACGTGTGGCACAGGGCAGTTGTCTCCTCACCTCTACCTCTTTTCCCAGTTCACTGATGTCCTTCCCATGTCCATGTGGGCTGGGTCAGGGGCATGATTAGGTGGCAAATCAGTCATGGAGTTCAGTTGGGTTGTTGGTAGTGTGTATAGCTGGGGGCAGGTGATGGAGACTCCAGTTAGCTTGTTTTTCAGGAGCAGGGATATAGAGAGCTCCTACTCCTGGTCATTTGAGGTCATCCTTTCAGGAATCTGTGCTTTCTTAGACTGAAGTTTTGAAGATTGGAGACTTCTGTGGAGCCCTGCAGAAGTGGAATCTGGAAGTGGGAGCCCATAGGAAGAAAGATACTTAGATAGTACTTAGGGAAATAGAGGTACAACTATGAGGACTCTGTTTTTTTCTGGCAGTCTCTCTCCTTGGGTGTCTGAGTGCCTATGAAAATTTTTAAGGGCTTGCTAGTTTATGTGGACCTCAATAAGGTAGGACCTATAGAGTGAAAATAATGGGATTTTATAATTGTTAATATTTTAATCTTTCTGGGAAAATTATTCTCAATAAGAACATACACCTGTGTTATTTGACTTCTGTACATTTAGCTTTCATACCTTTCATATATTGTAGGGGCTTTCCTGTACAAATTTAGGGCAAAGGAAATCAATAGAACCTTCCTAAGTTGGATCCATGCTGAGGAATCAAGACTGCCATTTTGAAGTGATGCAGATTAGACTTTTATCCAGAGACAGATCACGGAAAAGACACAGTGGATCTTTCTACCTTGTTTTAGGTCATCAGTTTTCTTCCAGTTTAGATGACAAAATTTATGTCATCCATTAATTGAATTTTAAGTTCATCTTCAGGACAGATAATTTATGAGGGCAAAGTATTGTCAGGCTCTGCCAATATATTGACTGTCACTATTTGTTATAAAGCTCAAGGTTAGTTTTCATTGAATATTTTATAGATTTAGACAGTTGGAGGCAGAAGTAGGTAAATAAAATCTATTTTTAGAACAGAGGACATATTTTAATTATATCAAGAATCATAATTTAATATATGGATCACTAACCTTTCTCCAGATTATGTTTTCCTTTTTTTGAGGGGGAAGCTGGATATAAAACGGCAGTTAAAAAAATTGTAAAGAAATCAACTTGCTCATTTTCATTGTGTATTTTTGCTCTCAAGCATTTTGCATGAACTGTGTGTGGATTCATTGCCTGCATTGGATGATGAAGTCTTGAGTGTTGCTACTAAGGTAAAGTGGTCTCTTGTAAAATTAATTTTCTCACTCTGAATGTAGTTTTGCATGTGTTTACTTTTCAAATTTAGCAGTGGTTTACCTATCATTGTTTTATGGTGTTAATGGAAAGTTGCTCAGAGAAAAACATACATATGACTAGTTGATTCAAAAAATGTGTTTAACTTTGGTAACTAACAGAGATTGAGAAGTACTGTGACAGGGTGGGAGCTGAAAAATAAATGAACTGGAAAATAAGTAGTCAAGGAAAATCACATTAGTAAATGCTTTCTCCAATAGAGGAAATATGAAATTTGGTTAAGATTTATTTGGATAAATACTAATACTTTGACTTTTAAATCGCACGAGTGTGACTTTCTTAATATTTATGCCTGTATAAATCTTCAGTGGATCAAATTATTTGCAGTAATCATGGAATCTTCCTGATAATTTTTAGTGGCAAAAATGTTCAGCACATAGCATATACCTTTTGTTCTTGGAAACTTATTATTTTTGTGTTATATAGTTTTTAGGAGAAATTGTTTCTCTATTATATTATTGGTTCTGTAGTGAGACTAAAAAATATTAAAAATTGTCGAAAAATAGCTGAGTTTGGTGGTGTACCCCTATAGTCCCCACTACTTGGGAGTTTGAGGCGGGAAGATTGCTTGAACCCAGGAGTTTGAGAATAGCCTGGGCAACATTGTGTCTGATTGAAAAATATAAACTGTGGAAATGTAGAAATTTAAATTTATGTTATCAAGATTTGTATTGCAAAGGGATTTTTGTGTGGTTTATGAGTTGTCCATGAAGAGTTTATATAAAACACTTCATCTAATTGAATAACATGTATTTTGCTGCAAATAACCAGTTCTAGAAGCAGAGATTCTTAATACCAGTATGGTAAGACTTTATCATCATAATTTTGTCATTGTAGTTTATTTAAAATATTTACTTTGCCAGGTATGGTGGCTCACACCTATAATCCCAGCACTTTTGGAGGCCAAGGTGGGTAGATCACCTGAGGTCAGGAGTTCAAGATCAGCCTGGCCAACATGGTGAAACCCTGTCTCTAAAATAAAATAAAAAGCACAAAAATTAACCAGGCATGATGGTGCATGCCTGTAATCCCAGCTGCTCAGGAGGCCAAGGCAGGAGAATTGCTTGAACCCAGGAGGTGGAGGTTGCAGTGAGCCAAGATCGCACCATTGCACTGCAGCCTGAGTGACAGAGCAAGACTACATCTTAAAAAATAAAATAAAATAAAATAAAATAAAATAAAATAAAATAAAATAACCACTCAAAGTCCTTATATCATATTCTGAAATTTTGAATGTCAGAAGGTTTTCTATTTAGTTGTTTAAATAATCATTGGAAGCTCCTGCATACCGTAAGCTACTGGAGGTCAGTAAACATATTTTTGTGTATGCTGGAGTACCTAGAATACAGTCTTCCATGTAAGAAGCATTTTACTTGTTGTTTTTTGAGATGGGGTTTCACTCTGTCACCCAGGCTGGAGGGCACTGGTGAGATCTTGGCTCACTCCGATCTCCATTTCCTGGGCTCAGGTGATCCTCACACCTCAGCAATCCAAGTAGTTGAAACAATAGAGCTATGTCACCATAGACCTGTGTCACCATGCTCGGCTGAGTTTCGTAGAGACAGGGTTTTGCCTTGTTGCCCAAGCTGGTCTTTAACTGTTGGGCTCAAGTGTTCTGCTCACCTCAGCCTCTCAAAGTGCTGGGGTTACAGGCATAAGACATTCAGCTTTAATAGTTGTTTAATCTGAATAAATAGACAAATAAATTTTTATGTAATGGAATGTTATGAGTAATATAATAAATCTAATGTATCTAATAATTAAATACTGTTTTTAAAATATTGCTTACATTGTATTATTTTTTAATATTAAAGGGTGTATAAGTTTTGATATGTTATGTTGAGAAATTGTGCCATAATTAAAAAGGAAATAAAATAGAATTAGGTCATCGGTAGCAAAGGGTTACAATATATTTTCTAATATCATTTAACTGGAATCTTAACATTGAGATTTTAGATTAACATTTCTTAAGTTTTTTATTAGACCCAACTCATGTTCTATTGAATATACCTTTTCAAGCCATACATTACTTATTATTATTATTATACTTTGAGTTCTAGGGTACATGTGCACAACGTGCAGGTTTCTTACATATGTATACATGTGTCATGTTGGTGTGCTGCACCCATTAACTCGTCATTTATATTAAGTATATCTCCTAATGCTATCCCTCCCCTCTCCCCCCACCCCATGAGAGGCCCTGGTGTGTGATGTTCCCCATCTTGTGTCCAAGTGTTCTCATAGTTCAGTTCCCACCTATGAGTGAGAACATGTGGTGTTTGCTTTTCTGTCCTTGCAACAGTTTGCTCAGAATGATGGTTTCCAGCTTCATCCATGTCCCTACAAAGGACATGAACTCATCCTTTTTTATGCTGCATAGTATTCCATGGTGTGTTAAGTGCCACATTTTCTTAATCCAGTCTATCATTGATGTACATTTGGGTTGATTCCAAGTCTTTGCTATTGTGAATAGTGCCACAATAAACATATGTGTGCATGTGTCTTTATAGCAGCATGATTTATAATCCTTTGGGTATATACCCAGTAATGGGATGGCTGGATCAAATGGTATTTCTAATTCTTGATCCTTGAGGAATCTCCACACTGTCTTCCACAATGGATGAACTAGTTTAGCTTCCCACCAACAGTGTAAAAGTGTTCCTATTTCTCCACATCCTCTCCAGCACCTGTTGTTTCCTGACTTTTCAATGATTGCCGTTCTAACTGGTGTGAAATGATTATCTCATTGTGGTTTCAATTTGCATTTCTCTGATGGCCAGTGATGACGAGCATTTTTTCATGTGTCTGCCATACATTACTCTTTAGAATTCTGGTGACCAATTCTTTTTCTGGGTGGAAAGTTGATGGAAAGTTCCAGTTTTCTCTCTCTGTTATAATAATGTTCTTTCAGGTAATGATAGATTACCATATTTAGCTAATTGAATGTCTTATAGTAAGAAACACTATCACAGAAGTACTTACAAAAAACTAATTAATTGCAGCATAAATATTAATTAGTATTATCACAGGTATGAAAGACCAAAGGCTCTGTTATAGATCTATTTCCCTATGTACTTTATTGTACTTCATGTTGTTTGTTTTCTTTCTTGGCTTAAGCTCATATTTCATTGACTAATTAGGCTTGTTTTTTGTTTGTATCCCTCTTTGTTCTCACATTTTAAATTGAAATTTTTGGGGAGTCAGGGTCTTGCTCTGTTGTCCATGCTGCAGTGTAGTGGCATGATCTTGGCTCACTGCAGTATCCACCTCTCAGGCTCAAGTGATCCTCCCACATCAGCTTCCCAAGCAGCTGGGACTGCAGGCACACACCATCATGCCTGATTCCTTTTGGTATTTTTTGTGTAGAGATGTGTTCTCATTATGTTGCCCAGGCTGGTCTCAAACTCCTGAACTTAAGCAATCCAGCCACCTTGGCCTTGCAAAGGGCTGAGATTACAGGTGTGAGCCACCATGCCTGGGCAACATCGAGTTTGATTTAAAGAAATTGATTAGGGCTGGGTGTGGTGGTGCACACTGCTTGTCTCAACACTTTGGGAGACAGAAGTGGAAGATTTACTTGAGCCCAGGAGCTTGAGACCAGCCTGGGCAGTATAATGAGACCTTGTCTCTACAAAGATAACAATAAAAACATTAGCATGGCATGATGGTATGCACCTGTAGTTCCAGCTATTCAGGAAGTTGAGGTGGGAAGATTGCTTGAGGTCAGCAGTTCGAGACCACAGTGAGCCATAATCAGGCCCCTGCATTCTAGCCCTGGGTTGACAGAGTGAGACTCAGTTTCATAAAAAGAGATTGATAAGAAACTCTTGATGCAACTCATCATAATTTTAAAATGGAAACTAATTCTTGATATTACCTTAGCAGTGTGTCCCCGAGAAAGTGTCAGAGCCTTTATGTAGACCTTCCCATGAAAAAGGAAACAGAATAGTCAATGGAAAAGGAGAAGGTGAGAACCGTATTTTATTTAAAAAGTCATTTGATGGAGGCCTGGCGCAGTGGCTCACACCTGTAATCCCAGCACTTTGGGAGGCCGAGGTGGGCGGATCATGAGGTCAGGAGATCGAGACCATCCTGGCTAACATGGTGAAACCCCATCTCTACGAAAAACACAAAAAATTAGCCGGGCATGGTGGCGGGTGCCTGTAGTACCAGCTACTTGGGAGGCTGAGGCAGGAGGATGGTGTGAACCTGGGAGGTGGAGCTTGCAGTGAGCAGAGATCCTGCCACTGCACTCCAGCCTGGGTGACAGAGTGAGACTCCATCTCAAAAAAAAAAGTCATTTGATGGAATGTTTCTTTGAAAATATGAGCACTAATAGAGTCTAATAGCTAAAGAAAATGTCCTATTAACTGTATAAAGAAAATGTCCTATTAACTGTATAATAAGTAAAGGAGAAATGAAATGGTGATAAGTTGTGTCTCTAACCAAGGGTCAGCAGTTGATTCTATTGGGAGTACCACTAAAGGAGCTGAGTTATGAGTTCCATTTTAAGATACTCTAAGACCTGAGGCAAGTCAGGAGAGAGGGAAGAGGAAATGAATAAAAGAGAAAGAAACAATGAGGAGGGCAGCGTGTATATGGAATAAATTAAAAAAACACGGATGTATGTAATGGAGGGTAGTAAAGTCAAATTGATCTGTAGAAGAAGGAAGAACAGGGTGTTAGAAATAGGAAGGAAGGCTCTCCCTCTGCCTCTGCCTCTCCCTCTCCCTCCTCCTCTCCCTCTCCCTCTCCCCATGGTCTCCCTCTCCCTCTCTTTCCACCTCTCCCCATGGTCTCCCTCTCCCTCTCCCCACGGTCTCCCTCTCCCTCTCTTTCCACGGTCTCCCTCTGATGCCGAGCCAAAGCTGGACTGTACTGCCGCCATCTCGGCTCACTGCAACCTCCCTGCCTGATTCTCCTGCCTCAGCCTGCTGAGTGCCTGCGATTGCAGGCGCGCCGCCACGCCTGACTGGTTTTCGTATTTTTTTGGTGGAGATGGGGTTTTGCTGTGTTGGCCGGGCTGGTCTCCAGCTCCTAACCACGAGTGATCCACCAGCCTGGGCCTCCCGAGGTGCCGGGATTGCAGACGGAGTTTCATTCACTCAGTGATCAATGTTGCCCAGGCTGGAGTGCAGTGGTGTGATCTCGGCTAGCTACAACCTCCACCTCCCAGCCACCTGCCTTGGCCTCCCAAAGTGCCGAGATTGCAGCCTTTGCCCGGCCGCCACCCTGTCTTGGAAGTGAGGAGCGTCTCTGTCTGGCCGCCCATCATCTGGGATGTGAGGAGCCCCTCTGCCCGGCTGCCCAGTCTGGGAAGTGAGGAGCGCCTCTTCCCGGCCGCCATCCTGTCTAGGAAGTGAGGAGTGTCTCTGCCCGGCTGCCCATCGTCTGAGATGCGGGGAGCGCCTCTACCTGCCGCCCCGTCTAGGATGTGAGCGCCTCTGCCTGGCCACGACCCCGTCTGAGAAGTGAGGAGCCCCTCCGCTGGGCAGCCGCCCCGTCTGAGAAGTGAGGAGCCCCTCCGCCCGGCAGCCGCCCCGTCTGAGAAGTGAGGAGCCCCTCCGCTGGGCAGCCGCCCCGTCTGAGAAGTGAGGAGCCCCTCCGCCCGGCAGCCGCCCCATCTGAGAAGTGAGGAGCCCTTCCGCCCGGCAGCCACCCCGTCTGGGAAGTGAGGAGCGTCTCCGCCTGGCAGCCACCCCATCCGGGAGGGAGGTGGGGGGTCAGCCCCCACCCGGCCAGCCGCCCCGTCCGGGAGGGAGGTGGGGGTCTCGCCTCCGCCCGGCCGCCGCCCCGTCCAGGAGGTGGGGGGCGCCTCTGCCCGGCCACCCCTTCTGGGAAGTGAGGAGCCCCTCTGCCCGGCCACCACCCCGTCTGGGAGGTGTAACCAACAGCTCATTGAGAACGGGCCATGATGACCATGGCGGTTTTGCGGAATAGAAAAGGGGGAAAGGTGGGGAAAGGATAGAGAAGTCAGATTGTTGCTGTGTCTGTGTGGAGAGAGGTAGACATGGGAGACCTCATTTTGTTCTGTACTAAGAAAAACTCTTCTGCCTTGGGATGCTGTTGATATATGACCTTACCCCCAACCCTGTGCTCTCTGAAACATGTGCTGTGTCCACTCAGGGTTAAATGGATTAAGGGCAGTGCAAGATGTGCTTTGTTAAACAGATACTTGAAGGCAGCAGACTCGTTAAGAGTCATCACCACTCCCTAATCTCAAGTACCCAGGGACACAAACACTGCGGAAGGCTGCAGGGTCCTCTGCCTAGGAAAACCAGAGACATTTGTTCACTTGTTTATCTGCTGACCTTCCCTCCACTATTGTCCTATGACCCTGCCAAATCCCCCTCTGCGAGAAACATCCAAGAATGATCAATAAAAAAAAAATTCCAAAAAAAAAAAAAAAAGAAATAGGAAGGAAGATAAAATGAGCTTCCAGTACCAAAATGTGTCATATAATTACAGTAACATTTTCCTTCTCTTGCTGTCATCCTCACTACTGGGGAGGCATTAAGGATTGAGGTAATTTACCACACAGACCTGTGTGTTTTCTACCATAGATGAACATCACTGTAAATGGTCAGCCATGGATGGCTATAATTTGTTATTATAGAAAATGTAACTGCATAGGATAGTATCATATTAACATAATTGAAAAGAATAGTTTTGGGTGATTTATGGAGAATAAATTAATTAAAGAAAGTATTGCCTGATTAAAAGTTCATTAGAAACATTATGGCTTATAATGTAGTATTAAATTCAGGTACATAATAGGGAAGAAATTGAGGCTAGGCCAAAAAGGCCAATAAGGGTAAACCAATATGGAAGCACATCAGTGTAGAACAGGGCATTCAAATTGTCATGAATTCGTTGAGGAACTTCTGGAAAGTGCACATTCTGACTCAGCAGGTATGGGAGTCTGCATTTCTCATGAGCACTCAGGTGATGTTGGTGCTGGTCCTTGGACACAGCTCTGAATAGCAGGGGAATAGCCTTCCTTTAGAGACATCTGGAAAAAGAACCACTGGAGAGCAATTTAAAAAATAACAGAATCCAGGGAAAGCTTTAATTTCCTTTTACTTCTGAGCATGATTCTAGCCACAGGGGAAGGAAAATGAGATGAAAAAAGAGAGATTACAAGTGCATACTACTGCTGAATGCAGATGAAAAAAGTGGTAACAATTATCCATAAAAAGCAGTTAGGAAGGGAAGCATCAGAAAGACAGTTCTAAAAATCGCTTTTTCAAAGGAAGAGGGATTGTGAAAGGACACAGAAGGAGGAAAGAAAGACATTTGCTGGGGTGTTGGAAGTTAAAGCCAAGTAAACTTGAGACAACTCACTTCCAGTTGCTTCAGCATATGCCCAGTCTCACAAAAGAGGTTATTGCTGTGGAGAGTACTGGAAGCAGGAGGGAGTGCTAGAGTTGGGGTCAACCACAGCAGCTCATTTCACTTGATAACTGTCAGGCCTCAGAGAGAGAAGTTTCACTGACATAAGTGAATAAGATGTGATTAAGTTGCATATAGATGTTTTGGCTAATTTTTTTTGAGACAGCCAGTTCTTTGATATGATAACTGTTTTATAAAAGTCCTTTACAGTGTAAGATAATATACCAAACTTAGTTAATTTTAGAAGCAATCATAAAATTCATTCTGTGAATACCAAAATTCTCATTTTCAATAAATACTGCACTGATTTTGAATTATAAATATGTATTCATATCCAGTAAGTCTGTGGTCATTCAGTGTTTTCTTTTTTGATAAATATTTTGATATTGGAAGCTTATTCAACATGGTTTATTTGATGTGTTTTATGGACCACCTTGCATGAGTGGATCAAGGAGCTCTAATTCAAGGCCAAATGAGGGGATAGGAGAAATGTAGGTTTTGCAGTAGCCCATGTGATCATGGGAAAAATGAGTAGTTTGATTAGCTGTTATTTCATAAGTGTGTATCCTAGCTGATCAATATAGAACACTTTCTTTGATGAGAGGTGAATCACATATTCACCTGAACTCTCATCCCAACTGTGTATTTCCTCAGTGACAAGACAAGGGGAATTTATTTGTGCTGTGCTGGCAGCAATGCCTCTGGTGTGCCGAGGTAAAATACTCTGTACATTCACCATCAGCTTTGACATTGATTCTGTCAGGTTTGATTTTCTCCTCTGTTTAATGGTCCCTTTTCTCCTCATCAGTCCATGTGTTCACAGTGATATCCATGCTTTTCTATTTTAGGTATAGGCATTTGAAACATAATCTCACTACTGAAATATAAACTGTGCATTTTAGGAATCCTATTTTCCTATTTTCCTCATTGTGTTTCTGTCATGTTGCTGTCCTAGGCAATGAAAAGAAGAAGCCAAGAAGAAAGCTCAAAACCTTAAGTAATTATTTTTATAGCCAGGCATTAGAATTCAGCTCGATAGTAACACTGCATGAATGTTTGGTTGGCCCTGTCATGCTTACATATAATTGATGACATATCCCCTTTGCTTTGTAAGGCCTCCTGCAAAACATCCTTCCTTGAAGGTAATTAATTAATTTTTGAATCACTAACTCCATGTTGTATAAAATATATATGATTTATGAATCATTTTCTTTTAAAACCCATTCAGCCTAGCACTGAAGTGGAAGATCCTGCTGTGAAAGGAGCAGTACAAAGAAAGAATGTACAGACATTGAGAGCAGGTACATTTAATGGAATACTGGAAATAAGTACATTCAATGATTGGATGTACTCATATTATTCTTATTCCTAATTCTATTTGTTCAAAATTGAATGGAAGGCATTGACATAAATGTTATTGTTGGTATCCATATTTGAATAAAAACAAATTTAGAAGCATAGAAAATATTTTAAAAATATAAGCTTTAACTCAGATGTTTCTGTTTTAATGTTTTGAATAGCATGAAGTTTTCAGTATAAAATTTTCATACTTGTCAGGGATTCAAAGCAGTGAATTTTGAGACTCTTAAGATATTTCCAGAGTTAACTGTTAGTTGGAGTTCTGATCTTTACCTAGAGGAAAGCTTTACTTATTAACATGTCAGTTTCTGTTTTAACTTCAGAGGCTTGCTGCTAGTGTTATTATACTGATGATCTGAAGCCAATCAGATGTTCTAATGAGCAAGACTGTGTGTGTAGGTGTATATATAGGTGCGTGTATGTGTGTGTTTGTGGCATCTTTGACTATTACAAATGACGAAAGTAATGATTCATTTATGACTGGTAGACACAGTCTTTTAAAATGGTGATTTTGAGCCTTTTTGGTGTTAAAGTTTTTAAAACATGATTGCATAGAAGCTACCAACACCATAAGTTGGTTGTTTTTCATTTCAATGCCCTTTCAAAATCTTTAACTATATTGTAATGCTCAGAAATAATATGCAGAATTTTTTGTGTCCTAAAATGATATGTGAGTGGTTATACACTTTACATACCATTCTGCCACTTTCTTTGGCGTATCTTGTATTATATTTTCCACATGTATCCACATTGATATGATTATCTCTGGTTTAATTCATTTTACACTGTTCATTGTATTCCCTTATACCACTTTACCACATTTAGTTAGACTCTCCTGTTGCTGATAAATGAAGAAAGATAAATAAAAATAATGTCAGATTAAGAGGGCTTTTCTTTAATCAGTTTGTATCTATTAGCATTTACTATATGAGAGTTTAAAGCTGAAAAGTTCAGAATACAAGCATGCACCACCATATTTTATAAATGCCCTTAGAACTATGACTCATGAGCCTTTAGCCTATGAAGTTAGGACAATTCATTTCTCTGAAGAAGAATGCTGTGCTGTTCTCAGAAAAGAAAACTGAAAGTAGCAATTGATATTGTCTTATTTGACCTCTTGGACATCCTTGAATGAAACTGCAACTCCATGGTTACTCGGATCAAAATTCAGAACTAATGTTTTGAACAATATAGTTTGTGAATGTCCAGTGATCATGAGCCCTTGATGGGGAAATGACCTTTCAAGTTTCACTTTTGCCTTTTTTGATCTTTTCCTTGACTTGTCTTAAAAGCTTAAATTCAACTGTTTTATTTTTACAGAAACCAGGAATATAACTTTTAAAATATATGTCTGTCCTGTCTCACGGTGTTGTGTACTCTTCAGATCTTGTGTGAACTTAGACTTATATGGGAACAATTACATTTTTTACTTGTTTGTTTGTGTTTTTGAGACAGAGTCTTGCTCTGTCACCAAGGCTGGAGTGCATTGGCTCAGTCTTGGCTCATTACCACCTCTGTCTCTCGGGTTCAAGCAATTCTCCTGCCTCAGCCCCTCGAGTAGCTTATACTACATGCACGTGCTACCATACCCTGTTAATTTTTCTATTTTTAGTAGAGATGGGGTTTCACCATGTTGGCCAGGCTGCTCTCGAACTCCTGACCTCAGGTGATCTGCCCACCTCGGCTTGCCAATGTGCTGGGATTACAGGTGAAAGCCACTGTGCCAGCTACAAATAAGATTTTTAAGGCTATTATATTTTATACAATTCTTTGGTCTATGTGAATTCTGAAGGTATTCATGCATTGAGGGAAGATTATCTCAGTTTAATGAAAGCAGTTTTTAATTTAACATATATTCATTAAAATTTTTTTTGAAGTTTTTGTCTCTAGTACACAGAAACAGACAATAATGTCATGGGTATTTTACCTTAATGTGTTTATGCACAAACTTAGTTATTCAAATATTTTCTTATCCCTGGAGAATCTTAATTACTAATAAAAAAATTTCTCATGGAAAACAACATATATAATAGAGATGGTTGAGTGATTGAAAGTAAATTGTAGTAGATAACAGAAGCTTAGAACAAGTTAAGTAAACTTGTCTGAGTTAATGGCAATTACAGGACTTTTAAAATATATTAGACTATGTGGGAGTAGTGCATTTGTGGGGTAGAGGACAACATGGTACTGCTTCAGTGAAGAAATAACTTTTACACCTTATTAAAATTTGTATTATTATTTACATTCTAATAAATAAAAACTTTATTTTCAGATATTTTACATTATGTTTCTACTAGTTGAACCATCAATAGTAAGACTTTTCAAAGATTTGGGAAGTTGTGAGTTGATGATAAATATCTGTATCACCATCAGTGATCAAAAATCAGACAGCAACTACTACAGATTTTGGACACGTGAACTTCATATTTAAAGAAAGGATTAATCTTGGAGCTGTGTTTTATCAGGGAATTATACTCTTCATTACCTGTGTGAATCGCAGTTATTAGAGTAGAAAGAGAGCAAAGAAGGGAAAGAAGCATAGAAAATTTTATTCTAGATTACCTTGTTTGGCTTCATGTTACCATAGTTCTGACTTTTAAAAAGTCATTTTGTGGTCAAAAGTACTTTGTGTTTACTCCCCTTATGCAGCCTACAACCAAACAGAATGCTTCTTAGCAAGGCATTTGTATTCTTTCCTTAAGGAAAGCAACATATAAATAACAAAGAGAATGAGGAGAAATAGTGATTTCATTGAGATTGGTATTTAACATAAATTTGAGTGTGGGTACCATGATTATATTTAGAATTTTGGGGCTGGATGGGAAAACCGGCTAGACATCTACAGATTTCCTACTCAAACACAATGTGTCTTTGCTTTATTTTTACATCTATAATTTTGCAATTATTAGGTACAACTGTATGCAGTGTCACTAAAAATACCTTCCAAAACCAAATATTAAATAATGCCTATGGCTTTCTGTTTTATAGTGTTGATTTTCCCAATATTAATGGGAACCATTGAGCATTTGCCTTGTGGTGCCTTCTCAGCTGTATTCACACATTCCATCACCTTGTCTTAATGGATAATCATGCGCTATGAGTATGCATTTTTAGAAAAGCTGTGTCATTTAAAGATAACACAGGAGCATCAAATTTAATTCTGCTAGGAAGCCTGGTCTACTGATCAACTGCAGCTAATATGGGGTCTACTTCACATCCAAGTTAAATTCAGTGCCCTTAATCAGTCATATGATGAGGTCAACAGTAATAAATTATGCAATATTTTTTCACCCACCCCTATAGTTTTAATTTCTTTTTCCCCTTATGTCTGTGTTTAACATTTTGTTTTGCAAAACATGATGATAATCTTCTAGAGTAGTGAGGACAAGCTATAAATCCAAAGTTTCTTATGTTTGCTATATTTTCTCATGAGCTTGGCAGATCCAGGAAACAGAACTTTTAAAACAAAATCCCCATATGTTGCTGGGTGCGGTGGCTAGTGCCTGTAATCCCAGCACTTTGGGAGGCTGAGGCGGGCAGATAACCTGAGGTTGGGAGTTTGAGACCAGCCTGACCAACATGGAGAAACCCATCTCTACTAAAAACACAAAATTAGCTGTTCATGGTGGCACATGCCTGTAATTCCAGCTACTTGGGAGGCTGAGGCAGTAGAATCGCTTGAACCCAGGAGGCAGAGGTTGCCATGAGCTGAGATCACACCACTGCACTTCAGACTGGGCAGGAAGAGTGAGACTCCATCTCAAACAACAACAACCACCACAACCACCACAACCACCACAAAACCCAAATGCATTTCCTTGGCACAGTAAAACTGAAACAGAAAAAGTGTAAAGTAAATACAAGTAACTGAAAGAGTTTATGTATATTATTTTACTTCTCATTTGATAAAATTTGTAAAGTAATGAGCAGAGTGTATTTCTCCAGGGACCCAGATATATACATTTATTCATTCAATAGAAATTCATTCTTATAATGGCCACTGATACCTATATCCTAAATATTTCTGAAAACATCTCTTCAGGCCTGCATCATCTTTGCAACATTGCCTTATATTTTATCTTTGTTCATTGATTTATATGCCTCAGAATTTTATGCTCCTCACAGTATTTAGAGTAAATTATCCTTAATGCAAATAGATCCGTGAACCACTCTTGAATACCTAATGTCTAAGCATCTTAAAGGTTTATATAAGGATTTCAGAAACTGACTTCTGGGTTGGGCATGGTGGCTCATGTCTGTGATCCCAGCACTTTGGGAGGCTGAGGCAAGTGGATCATTTGAGGTCAGGAGTTCAAGACCAGCCTGGCCAACAAGGTGAAACCCCAACTCTAATAAAATACAAAAATTAGCAGGCGGTAGTGGCACACGCTTGTAATCTCAGCTACTCAGGAGGCTGAGGCAGGAGAATTACTTGAACCTGGGAGGCTGGGTTGCAGTGAGCTGAGATCATGCCACTGCCCTCCAGTCTGGGAGACAGAGTATGACCTTGTCCCAAAAAAGAAAAGAAAAGAAAACTGATTTCTGCCCAAATCTCCATCTGTATCCCTTTCCCCATCTGCCTTTTTCTCTGGAATTACTGAGCTGCTGGTAATGGCCCCCTCACCATTCCTCTTCTGCAGAGAAATACATACTCTCTTGGAGGCTTCTCTTCCTCTCTTGTTGCTTCCTGGCATGTGCTCACCCTTTCCTGCCCTCTGCCTCGCTTAATCTGGCTAACCTCTCTCTCTAAGTCTCAGCTCATGCATGATCTTTAGGAAAGCCATCCCTGACAGCTTCTATTTTCCTTCCTTTTACCCCAGTGCCTAACACTTAGCAGGAACTCAATAACTAATTATTTAGCAAAATTAAGACTGTTTATACAAAGATGATTCAAAAGATTGTCCTCTACAGTCTAGCAGCAAAGGGGGTCAACATGTAAAGACATGATGTGCAGTTCAGGTGGTAAAGTGACACTAGAAAAATTGACAAGGTACTAAGGGACCCCAACGAAGCAGACACCTGTGTGTGTGGAGAAAGATAGCTAGAATCAAGGAAGATTTCACATAGCATTCTGAGCCTTTATTTTTTTCCTCTTTTTGGAGACAAGTTCTTACTCTATCACCCAGGATGGAGTGCAATGGCATGATTGAGACTCACTGAAACCTCAGACTCCTGGGCTTGAGGGATCTTCTCACCTAAGCTTCTTGAGTAGCTGGGACAACAGGAACATATCACCATACCTGTCTAATTTTTTGTAGAGTCAAGGTTACCTATGGTTCCCAGGCTTGTCTTAAACTCTTGGCCTTGAGCAATTCTCCCATTTTGGCCTTTCAAAGTGCTGGGATTACAGATGTGAGCTATTATGCCCAGCCTACTTTCTGAGTCTTAAAAGATGAAAATAAATTTTTCAGAAAGCAGGGGAAAACATTTGTGATGTAAAAAATGGGGTGCACACTAATTGAGGTATAAAGAACAATAATTTTGCAAATTATTAGTAACTGCCAACTCAGTGTCTTGTTAAAAAGATACTGTTATGAAGTATAGTAAAGCATTACATTGTATATTTTGACTGTATTTCAAATTTCTGTTTTGTTTCCAACAGTTTTGTTGACTTATGTTGGGTGGAACAATTTGTGAGTGACCCTGTGATTTTGCATGGCTTGAATCTGGTGATATCTAGTGTCTCCCCAAGTGGTTTGCTGAAGTTTTGGATAATTAGAAGTATTTCTTACAGAAGTAAATATTTCAGTAAACATTGTTTCATTCAAACTCTCAAAATATAAAATACAAAGAAATGTTATCTCTATTTATTTTTATAAAGATTATAGTCTTTATCTAACTCTTCTTAGTTCATTTGAACTAAATCAATGAATTTGTCAACAGAACAAACCTTACCAGTGGCTTTACAGGAAGAGCAAGAAAGGTGTGAAAGAAGTGAAAAGAAGCAACCACAGGTATATGAAAATTTAAGTTCTTGTTTAATATTATGTTTTTTTTTTTTGCTTTACTAACAAAGCATAGTCCAAATGACATCACCTTTTAGACTATAGCTTTAGAATCCAATAGATCATAATTTTATATTTAATTTTTAAAACATTTTAACAATTTATGAAACTTAAGATATTCTTACTATCTCTAGTAACTATTAGTTATTCTAGTAATTCTTAGTATCTCTAGTAACTCATAGCTATCTTTACCCTTGGAATTGAGGCAAGAAATTTTCAGAATTATCTTGCTGTTTTATTTGTATAAACTTACTCATAATACACAAGGTAACATGAAGTACTGGGTCATATTACTGAGGAATAGAAATTATGAACAGTTTAACCACAATGGCCACTGAGTTAAACTAGTGTTAAAGGAGTCATCATTGCCAGTGCTTCAAATGGTGCAGTTTTATATTGCTGTTCACCAGTGCCGAGGTTAAAGATTTATTCTCTTTCGTGGTCACCAGTTGACTTCTCTGTCTGTGTTCAGGCAGTGAATGGGGTCATAAAAGTCAATGCAGTTGCCTACTAAGAGAATCCTACCTTGCAGAATGGGACCTTTGGTGTCAGGGTGTGAACAATAACTGTATTTCCACATAAATACATAGTAAATATTACTAAAATTTAAAAAATCCAAACCCTGTCACTATTGGAACTTAAAATATATTAGAAGTGGATATAAGCAGAAATTCTATCTAGATACATAACACTATCATAGTATATCATTTGAATTAGAATTTAAAAGTTTGCTTCTCTTTCTTATTAGTGTTCAGTTTAGCTCTTAATAATTTAGTGTTTGCCGAGTGCTCTAGTTCATCTTCAGAAATAAACATGCACTGTAGGGGCTTACTCTTTCTGATATGCTGAGGTAAAGTCTTTGTAAGAGAGGAAGCTTTTATAATACTACCTATCATCTTTGAATTCATTTCTGGTAGATTTTACACAAATGCATTAAGTTTAGTCCAAACAGACACTGAGAGTTCAGCTTGCTGGTTCATGTTTCTGTCCTATGTTAAGCCAAGGCAAATTATTTTTCACTTTTTAGTTACAATCCCATAATTTAAGAGTAGCAACACATAGATTAAGTTTCGCAGTTAAATTTTAATTATTTTCTAATATTTCTTTGTTTATACTTGATTAAAGCTAATTTTAAAACATGCACTCTGACAGAAAAGATATCTGAGAAACAAAACAAGCAAATTTGTTTTCCATTTTGCACCTGCCAAAAAAAAAAAAAAAGTCTCAAGAACCAGAACAGGGTAAGAATTGTGATAAAGGGAATTTATCTATATATTCATGACTTTCTTTAAAATTCATTACAAACAAGTTCAAGCTGAATATTGGTAAAAGTTCTGAAAACTCCAAAATTACTGCTTGCCCTGAGGAAGAGCTCCTACATAGTAACTCTAAAGAAGGATGAACAAAAAAGGAGTGCCCTCTAATCTGATGAATCATGTCCCTGATTGTGAGGAGAAAAATGTGTCTGGAGGGTCTAGCTCTGTGGCAGTCCAGGCAGTGCCTGAACAGAGGAAGCCCATGTCAAATGCCTTTTTATTCCATTCACACTCCAGGTCCGTGAAATACACTTACCAGTCATCTTCTAAGCTTCATTTAAATTAAAATAAATCAGACTATAAAAATGATAACAAACCAGACACATAGCTTGTTTCTAACACAGATGATGAAAATTTTTGTTATGATATAGAAACTGAAAAAGTAAGGAACCCAGTAATTATGATTGAAATGAAAGGTGATTAAGAGTTTGACATGCACATGGAAAAATATATAAACCCAAATACCACTAATTGGAAATTAGACATTAGGCATTGGTCTCAGTCTAGAGATCCAGAAAGTCTTTTTGATTTGTGGTTTACCCACCCCAAAGAAATGAAGCATATGATTCAGATAGAAAGCCACAGTATTTCTGCTGCTACAGATACTTATAAAAACAGAAAACCAACACAGTGCTTATTCCAGAAGCCACTGTATGACAATCCCAGTGTTAATAACTACAAAAGCATGAATCTTGAATTATAAAATGCGGGTTATTCTTTGCCACATAGTGAGAGAACATCAAAAATATAGCTAGAAGACTTACAGCAAGATATTCCAAGGGCACTAACATAGCACATGTATACATATGTAACAAACCTGCACATTGTGCACATGTACCAGAACTTAAAGTATAATAATAGTAAAAAGAATGAGGTAGGCATGTTACAAGTAGAGTTCCTGGCTTTGGAGAAAGAGAAAATCCAACTTCAAAAAGACAGAGGTTCACTTGCTGCTTCTTTTTTCTCTTTATCAATTATTTGATTTAGTCAAATTTTCTATTCAAGAAAATCTCATGTGTACAGTTACAGCGGGGTTTTCTAAATGTGTAATTATGTGTCAAAGTAGATTAGTCCTGCTATCTAAACAACGGTTCTGGAGAATGTTCTCATAATGTTTCTTCATTAATCAACCTAAGTCTCACTCTCAGTCTTCCAAGTGGCATATGAGCTGGGAAACTAATTCAGCCATATACCATGTGACCTTCTGAACCAGATCAACATAAAGAAATTGCTAAAGAAATAAGCTTTAGATTCTAGATTCTTTTTTCTGTATTTATTTAGAGATGAATTACATTTATTTAATGATAGAATGGGAGTACAATGAGAGGGAAGCAATGACTGAGATGAGCCACAAATACACGTCTAGCCTTGAGAGTTGCAATGAATATTCCCAGCCAAATGAGTCTGTTTAATGTGTTTTCATGCATGCAAGTTTATCTGCTTAGCTCAAACTGTTTGAATTTATAGTTCCATCATGGTTATTTCCAATATTTTGAAAACAAATATATACTTCCACATATTTTAAAAAATCACCACTCCAATATTTCTGTTGAATCAGACCTTACATTATGTTGTTTAATAAAGTATGGTAAGTTTTGGCATGTATGATTTTTATCATGTAAGAAGCATAATTTCTTAGCTAAAAATTTAACCTTTGACTCTTTAGTAGAAAGCTGAGTTCTGTACATTGTGTTCTAAAGATAGACAAAATTCTAGAGATTTTCTTCTTTCAAAGTAAAAGCAGATGAGGCCTTTTTCCACCCTCTGAGGTGTTAAATTGCTTTGCTCAAGTTAGACTTTTAACATATCTGACTAATTTGATAAATTTATCTGGTAATTTATGTAATTCAGCAATATGGAATTGTATCATGTTATTTGGTGTCATGAAATGCTAGGGAATGCCACCTCAAGAGCTCTGGATGAAACATTTCATATGTCTTGGTTGGTTTGACTCCCATTTTCAGTAGATAATGGGGCTAAAGTAGATAACTGTACCGTATGTTTTCCACCTATAAACGTTTGTGGTAATTGAATGTGAAGTCTGGGAAGCATCTCGTTTTCCAGAATTCTGCACTAGAAACTCAGCAGTTTCACTCTGCTTCTTGTGTTGTGGCAAACATTGGTTCCCATAGTTCAGGGAGAACTTTCACTTTTTTGATATCCCAGGATTCAAAAAAAAAAAAAAAAAGAGATAAAAGACAGTGGGGAAAAGAATAGCTCAGTGCAGAAAAGGGAAAATTTCTTTACTGTTCCTGAAGCCCTACAAGGTCACATCCTCTTAATCTGGCTATTTCATGTAAAATCCAGGTGGCAATGACAGAAGATATATGTTATGCCTGTGTCTTTTTATTTCTCTGTTTCTGCCAGTCAGATAGCATAAACATTTATATCAGATAGCAAAGAGTGGATGCGAATAAAAGCACAAAATGGAGAAGAGTCCTTTTTGAAATTTTGGAAAATTCTTCCATTCACTCAAACAGAAATGAGCAGACTTGACAAAAATTTCAATGACAAAATGATGAGTATCTTATAATTATTATGTATAATGATAAAATTAAAGTAAGCACAAAATACTTTTATCATTAAAATGGTGATAGTTAACCTGAATCAAGTGAAAAAATCAGGGAAAAAGGTTTTTTTTATTGAATAAAATAATAATTATTATTCATATTACTTTTATTAAAGGTCAAAGAAGGAAATAATACAAATAAAAGTGAAAAAATACAACTATCAGAAAATGTATGTCATAGTACATCTTCTGCTGCTGCTGACAGATTAACCAAACAAAGAAAGATTGGGAAAATGTATCCTCAGCAATTTCCCAAGAAACTGAAGGAAGAGCACGATAGGTAAGTAAGCCTATAGCAGTGTTTTTTTTTTTTTTTTTTTTTTGAAATGGAGTTTCTCTCTTGTTGCCCAAGCTGGAGTGCAATGGTGTGTTCTCACCTCACTGCACCCTATGCATACTGGATTCAAGTGATTCTCCTGACTCAGCCTCCCTAGTAGCTGAGATTACAGGCATGTGTCACCATGCCCAGCTAATTTTTTGTATTTTTAGTAGAAATGAGGTTTCACCATGTTATCCAGGCTTGTCTCGAACTCCTGACCTCAGGTGTTCTGCCCAATTCGGCCTCCCAAACTGCTGGGTTTACAGGAGTGAGCCACCATGCCTGGCCATCTATAGCAGTATTTCTCAGTAAATAATTGTCATTGTGCTATAAACTAATTCAAAATTGGACTAATGTTCATTATTATTAACAAGTTTTATAGTTTTACCAGGGATATTTAGCCCTGCCTGGTAATCAGAAAAATGAAAATTAACATAAAATAACATATATTTTGTAAAGTCATGCTGATATTGAAAAAGTAATTCCTACCATTGAAAATGTGAGGAAAAAGGCACTCTCATACACTGTTTGTATATGAAATTGGTAAATTATTTCTGAAGGGTAACTTAGTGCTGTTTATCAAAATTTCAAATAACCTGACATCCCTTTAACTCAACAACTCCACTTCTGGGACTAGATTTCACAGGAAAACATAACTTGTGTAAACATACACACACTTATTAAGGGCATTAATTATATATTACACATAATGAACAATAGCTTAATAAATATATAAAATATATGTAATAAGAAGGTGAATTGGAAGTATTAAGAAAGAATTAGAAAAAGTGTGGGGTAACAGATGTTAGACTCTTTAGCCTAGTTTTAGATGACAATCATCTGCAGATATAGTTTGTATGAGATACATCTTACTCTGTAAATCATTTGAAGAGACACCTGCAATATTTCATAGAGATGAAAATTTATTTCTAGTGAACTTATACGCTTGTCAATAAATAGTAACTTTAAAAATTTAGTTGATTGTAAATGACCTTTTCTAATCAGGTAGTAATTATGACTGTGTGATTTGAAAAGGTAATTTTGAACTTCTAACTATACTGAATTATTTCCAGTATCCTTTTTTATAATACATACTAGAGTGACTAGTAATAAAAACTTTAGCAGAATATTCTTTCCTTACTATTTTTCAAGTATATGCATTAGTTTGAAGATGTTGAAGTGAGAAATTAAATATCTGAGAACTACAAAGGAAAAATAATCCAGAACATAGAAATTTTATTAGGATGATAAAGAGCATCTGCAGAGGTAGATCACAGGATGATCTCTTTATTTTTTAACAAATGAATTTTAAGATAAATGTCTTTATCTGCAGATGCATCTTAAGACAAGAAAATGAAGAAAAAACAAATGTTAATATGCTGTACAAAAATAGAGAAGAATTAGAAAGGAAAGAGAAAAAATATAAGAAAGAAGTTGAAGCAAACAACTTGAACCAACTGTTCAATCACTAGAGATGAAACCGAAGACTGCAAGAAATACTCCAAATCAGGTAAATCAATCTTTGGTAAAAATTCTATATTTTAAACTTTATTTTATCAAGTTACTTATAATATCCTCTTGATTTAATATACAATATTTAGGTCTAAAAGCAGAAATGTTATCTCATTTTTAAAAAATGAATGATGACAATTACAGGTACAATTATTACTATTTATTATAAATCTTGGTATCCACATAGGATATTATTTTATTACAAAGAGCTTTTGAAAACAATAATGTGACATAATATATCCTTAGTGATAACCTATTGATAAAGATTTTGTTCCCAGTAAAATTGTTCCTTGTACTTCCCCCTATTTCATATTGATTACTGTACCTAATACTATAAAGAGGAAACAAATTATTGCAATCACAAATAATCTCATGATATTCTAAGAAGAGCTCTATAAATTTTATCTTATTTACCATTGGTGTTTTGAAATAAAAGTTTTCTTTCGTATTGATATATTTACACCACAGAAGTAACTGTGATCTGTCAGAGAACTAGAAGTAGAGTCAGAAGTCCTGGGGAAAATCCTGTAGCTTGCTTATATTTTTAACATTTCTTTTTCAAAATTGTGGTAACTAGATGAGTTCATCAATGAATGTATATAGGAGTGACTAGTATAAGGTCTAGATTTATGATTTAGTAAATGTAATTCTTACAACTGACTATAAAAGTGTTAAAAGAGTCAAATTGAAATAGAATGTTATCAGTGAAACAGAACTGTAATAACTCCTCTGGGAAATTTTATCTGTCCAAATACGTGTGAACTAAGGTTCTTACTGTAGGGTGGTGTATGGGTTAGATATCAAAGTGTAAGTGCAATTTTTTGATATATTTTAATTTAGTCAAATTTGTTAATGCTTTAATTTATGCTTTTCAGTTTGTTGTAATTCAGGGAAAGGCTTTTCCAATTCTGAAATTCTTAAAAATTCTCTAGTGTGTGTGTGTGTGTTTACTTTTATAAATTCATTGACTTTAAATAAATTTCTGAACTTTTTGTAATTTATGCTCTATAAGGTTCAAAGTTTTGCTTCAACTTTTTCTCCAGTTGGATATTCACTTACAGTAACCTTTTTAGTGTATGGATGTGCAGGTTATTCTTTAACTTCAGAGGTAATCATGATATGTTATTTTATTGAGTACTAGCTAAAACTTTCTTTTGTTTTATTTAGGATTTTCATAATCATGAAGAAATGAAAGATCTGATGGATGAAAATTGCATTTTGAAGACAGATATTTCTATACTCAGACAGGAAATATGCTCAATGAAAAATGACAACCGGGAAAAGAAAATAAATATCTTAAGGACGTTAAAATTGTTAGAAAAACAAATGCTGCCCTTGTAAAGTATATAAAACTCAATGAGGAATTGATAACAAAAACAGCATTCTGGTATCAACAAGAGCTTAATGATGTCAAAGCTGAGAATACAAGGCTCAATTCCGAACTGTTGAAGGAAGAAGAAAGCAACAAAAGACTGGAAGCTGAAACTGAATCTTATCAGTCTAGACTGGCTGCTACTATAAGTAAACACAGTGAAAGTGTGAAAACAGAAAGAAACCTAAAACTTGCTTTAGAGAGAACGCAAGATGTTTCCGTACAAGTAAAAATGAGTTCTGATATTTCCGAAGTAGAAGATAAGAATGAGTTTCTTACTGAACAACTTTCTAAAACACAAAATAAATTCAATACCTTAAAAGATAAGTTCCGTAAGACAAGAGATACTCTCAGAAAAAAGTCATTGGCTTCAGAAACTGTACAAAACGACCTAAGCCAAACACAGCAGCAAATAAAGGAAATGAAAGAGATGTATCAAAATGCAGAAGCTAAAGTGGGTAATTCCACTGGAAAGTGGAGCTGTGTAGAAGAGAGGATATGTCAATTCCAACATGAAAATCCGTGCATTGAACAGCAACTAGATGATGTTCATCAGAAAGAGTATCATAAAGAGATAGTAACTAATATCCAAAGAGGCTTTATTGAGAGTGGAAAGACCTCGTGCTAGAAGAGAAAAATAAGAAGCTAATGAATGAATGTGATCATTTAAAAGAAAGTCTCTTTCAATATGAGAGAGAGAAAGCAGAAAGAGTAGTAAGTATCAAGGAAGATAAATATTTTCAAACTTCTAGAAAGAAAATTTAAACATTTGGTTCTGGATACATGTTGAACTTAGTTGAATATAAAAATCAATAGATTAAAAAGTGTGTTTACCATACTGTATAATTGCATTTACATGAAGCATCCAGAAAAGATAAACGTATAGGGACAAAAAGTAGATTAATGTTTGCAAAGGGCTGGGACTGGAAGCTGGTAGTGACTGCTAATGGGCGTGAGGGATCTTGCAGTGATGGAAATGCTGTAAAGCTGGATTGTAGAGATGGCTGCACAACTCAGTAAATGGACTAAAAATCTTTTAACTTTAAGTTAAAACAGATACATTCTATAGTATGTAAACTATATTTCAACAAAGCTGTTTTAATAAAAAAAGGAAAAATGTGTTTACTATATCAGCTTAGAAACATGCCTCATTTCTAGGAAATAAAAGGTAGAGGTGAGAGATGATTTACTTTGAGAAAAGACATTGTGTCACCTATGAAATTTTATTAGGCACAGAGTCATATTTTAAGGTAGATAGTTCTGTACTGCTGAAATAATAATTTTAATGACTTTATGTTGCCACATGTTAAGACCATAATGTAGGTATGAATGGAAATGTTTACACCTGAAATGAGTATTTTCAAATTAAAATTTAATTAAGTGATTTTCTTTGACACTTAATTCTAGATTTCCCAGATGAACTGAAGTGTATTGCTGTGTCTTGTAATACCTTGCTTTAAGTAGCTTTTTATGTATTTTTGTTGGTATATCTTTGTTATTATTCATATTAATTTAAAAAATTTTAAAATATGTCAAATTACGTATTTTTAAGACTACGTAATGTTTTAAAGGCACCTACTTGTCATAAAATCATAATTTAGGATAAATGTGGTAATAATTCGCCAAAGTATATTTGGTTTAGTCTTCCCACTGGTATTTATTGTTTACTTTGACTATGTTAATAATTAGCTCATAATTTTTATTGTGAGGCTCAATGAGTATCATTGGAATATAATTTTGTTCAGTACAAAGATACTTGTAGCTGCCTGTGATTTATGAGTTAGGCATTAGATCCCCATTTTCAGGCTGAGGGGTGGCAGGCTTCAAGTACAGTGGGAATGGAATAATTACAGGTGGGAGTTGTAGGAGCTTTGAAGTCAGAGAGGGAGGTAGAGGCCTGTTTACCTAGGGCCTCAAAGGCCATTGGAATTTTACTTTTATTCTGAGATAGGAATCTGTTGGAAGGATTTGAACAGGTGATTGAATATGTCAGGAACTTTGAGGTTGAGTTGAGCTTCTAAGGTGATTGAATGGTGGGATGAATCTGTTGTGTAAGTAAGAGAATAACAATTTGGCAGGAAGAGAACATATTCTGCATCCCTCACTGAATTCAGTAATAAATAAAAATGTGTACATGTGATTAAAAGAAGGTGAATTGATATGTGTGGTGATAATTTTCAAAGTTGGTATGTTAGAGTTAAATATTATTAACATAATTTAATAATAAGGCAATTTATAAAATCAGTAACAAAAATATTTTCTCAGGTAGTTGTGAGACAACTTCAACAAGAAGCAGCTGACAGCCTAAAAAAATTAACTATGTTAGAGTCTCCACTGGAAGGTATATCACATTATCACATTAATTTGGATGAGACACAGGCCCCAAAGAAGAAATTATTTCAAGTGAAAAGTCAAGTATGTATGGAATTTAACATGTCAACTCTTATTCTGTATCTAGTTGAATTATATAACGTGTTTTAGGATACTAATTTTGGCAGAAGCTTGATTTTTTAGTTTCATTACAAAGAATTATTTCCATTTTACTATCTTTATAATGTACTTATTATTTTTTTTATATTGTGACTTTCATTCTACCATTTTGAAAAACCATTGCATACCTTTTCTGTTACAATATGTACCCTTGGAAAAGTTGAGAATTATACATCATTCCTCATAGAAAACTGACTTTTTTCCTGTTAAAACAGTATTTTTAGGTAAATTTGTATTGCTCTGATGAGGCAGGCCAGATAAAATCAGAGGAAAATGTTTCATGGAAAGTTCCAGAAAATTGTCTTGTTTCTTCACTTTTGTGAATGGACACTGAATCTGTGTCTATTTATTTCACAGATTGTAGGTTAACTTGTACAGAAAGGCCATTATACCATTCTTTGAAATGTGCATGTTTTAGGTTAATTTACAAACTATTTGAAAATTTAGGCATTTTCTTTATTTATCTTTTATTTAAAATATACTATAAAACTCTAGAAATATTTAGATTTGATATAGCATGTACATCAAAAATTGAGAGTTGAGAAAATTATCTTGATCCTGCCTTTGGATTTTCAAAACAGTTTCACTGAGATATCATTCACATTTCAGAGAGTTCAACCATTTAAAATGTACAACTCAGTATCTATTAGTATATTCACAGCATTTTCATCACCCTGAAAAGCAACCCCACATCTCCTAGGCATGACTGCAGCCTTCCTCCATGTCCCTCCACCTACGCCTGTTGTAGGCAACCACCATCTATCTACTTTTGTCTCCATATGTTTGCCTGTTCTGCATATTTCATATACATAGAGTTATACAATATGTAGTCCTTTGTGACTGGCTTTTTCACTTAGCATAGTGTTTTCAGAATTCATGCATATTTTAGTACACATTGGTAGTTTATTTCTTCTTATAGTTAAATGATATTCTATTCCATGGCTATACTGGTTTTCCATTCATTCATCGGTTGATGGACCTTTAGGTTAGTTTCCACTTTTTAGCTCTTATGAAAAATGCTGCTGCGAACATTCACTTACAGGTTATTATGTGGACACGGGTTTTTATTTCTCTGTCATTGGACTTTATCCTCAGAGTTAATTGGGCAGATTTCAGCACTTGTCTTGCTCATGCTATTCTTTCTGCCTTCTCAGTTTCTGTTCATCTAGCCTCATTCACTCAGACGTGGCAATTTATTGTTTTCATGAAGCTTTCTCTGACTGTTCTCTCATTGACCTTATGTGTTAGCAATCGTTGTCTAGTCTGTGCAGAAAAACTTAGTCCTTAATTTTACATGGCTTTTATTTTTTTATGGAAGATAATTTTCTCTCATTATAAATTTGCTTAATGGGGGAATAATATATAATATGTATGCCACCTATCCTTGCATACATTGAAAATATTTTAGCTTAGAAGTTTGTAGCATACAATTCAATACTTTGTACCATACCAATTATTTCTTCTTTGAGACCTTGACACAGTAAGGTTTATATACTAAGTGTAATGTTAGTAATTAAATATCAAATCTAAACCAATTAGTCTAATACAGGAGACGCGTTCAATCACATGTTTATGTTTTTCTCTCTATGAAAAAGAATCTAAATCAGCCTTTTTTCACTATGCAGCAGAACTGTGTTTCTGGACTGCTACCAGTTTGTCAGCTGAACAGTTCTGGCTGCAGCTTCTCTGATGAAGGATAGCACAGCCCCTCACTCTCAGTGCTCAGCAGAGTGCTTGTGAAGGCAACACCACAGAAACAGTTGCTCAGAGGGAAAGGATTCAGGAGCCTTGATTTAGCAATAGAGTCCAGGGTTTTCAGCTCAGTGTCTTTAGCCTGTCTTTGCTGGTCATGTCAGTTATGTACTATTCAATCCAGGAGGTGCTGTTTACATTGTAGTACATATATAGTCATTGCCAAATGAGTCATACAGAAAGAAAAGTAAGTTATAAATTATGTCCCCCATTTGCTGCAACTCTCAGTGGTAAGAATGATTCAGAGCAGCTATAGGAGAGTACTTCCATTGGCATGCCACCTGCCTAACATACACAATTTTGTTAAGATATATAATAAAATTATTATGCTAATAGCAAATATTTTATGTAGCTCACTATGTTCTATGTAGTCTTCTAAGTGCTTCATGTTAGTCCCCAGTTAAACACCAGGTTTGGGAATGCTGCGGCAGGAGGATCGCTTGAGCCCATGAGTTTGAGACCAGCCAGAACAATATAGTGAGACCCTGTCTCTAAAAAAAAAAAAAAAAAAAAAAAAATTTAAACACTTAGCTGAGGCATGGTGGGGCATGCCTGTAGTCCCAGCTACACTGGGAGGCTGTGGTAGGAGGGTCGTTTGAGCTTGGAATATTGAGGCTGTAGTGAATGGTGATCAAGCCACTGCACTCCAGCCTGGGTAACAGAGGGAGACTCTGTCTCATAAATCAAACGTTTTGTATAGATTCCCATAGAAGTGAGTTAGGCATCAATCATAGAGTTATTAGCCACTTTGGTGTCTACCTTGGGAGTAAAACATATAATAAGGGGCAGCTTTAAACCATCTCAATCAATAACCTCCAACTTCTCGAGAAGGTTCTTATTTCATGAATTTCTAAACAAGAGACTACCTAGATTAAGACATTTGGTGGACACCATTTTGAGATGAAGAATCTGGAGTGGGAAGAAGGGAGATCTCTACTTACTGAAGCTTCCCAATGACATAGTTAAGTGTTCCCCAAAAGAAACTTTAGAACAAGAATTTCATCGTGCCATATCTCTATGAAAAGGAATTTCTCTAAAAGAAAACAAAGGCAAACAAGTGATAATCTGATTCTCATGGGAAAGTTTTCATCATAAAAGAAAAAGAGTGCTGGTTGCCGTGGCTCACGTCTGTAATCCCAACAGTTTGGGAGGCTGAGGTGGGTGGATTACCTGAGGTCAGAAGTTCAAAAACAGCCTGGCCAACATGGTGAAACCCTGTCTCTACTGAAAATACAAAAATTAGCCAGGTGTGGTGGTGTGCACCTGTAGTCCCAGCTACTTGGGAGGCCGAGGCAGGAGAATCACTTGAACCCAGGAGGTGGGAGTTGCAGTAAGCCGAGATGGTGCCACTGCACTCCAGGCTAGATGACACAGTGTGACTCCATCTCAAAAAAAAGAAAAAAAGAAAAACAAAAAAGGGACAAAGTATACTGGTCCAAAAAAGAAGAAGGCAAGAAAAAAAGGACAAAGTATATTGTTTACTATCATCACAGTGAGATAGTCCCCCTTTGAGATTAGAAAATAACAGTATACTCAAAGTAACATTAATGAGAACCAACATAAAATAGACAACATTCACTATCTACAAAAGTAATCTGCACCAATTAGCAATGTATGAGCATGTGGTTGAGAATATTGTCTATAATATGTATGTTAGAAGGAAGAGACCTCAAGAAAATGGTCAGAGCTGGAAATGTAGATTAGGGAATCTAGGTCAAAGTTTTGAGATTTTAGGAGTCCTGAGAGAATTTAAAAAGAGAAATAGCCACCAGGCGTGGTGGCCACACCTGTAATCCCAGCACTTTGGGAGGCCAAGGCAGGAAGATCATGAGGTCAGGAGTTCAAGACCAGTCTGGCCAACATAGTGAAACCCCGTCTCTACTAAAAATACAAAAAATTAGCTGGGCTTGGTAACACATACCTGTAATCCTAGCTACTTGGGAGGCTGAGGCAGGAGAATCGCTTGAACACACGAGGTGGAGGTTGCATTGAGCTGAGATCATGCCACTGCACTCCAGACTGGGTGACAGTGGGAGACTCCATCTCAAAACAAAAAACGAAAACAAAACAAAACAAAAAAACAGAAAAGGATAGGACTAAAGAACAGAGGTTGCTAAATTTAGAAATGAAGCAGGATCAGAGGAATAGGAAGGGATAGGGTAAAGAACAGATGTTGCTGCATTTAGAAAGGAAGGGGGTCAGAGGAATAGAAAGGGATAGGGCTGAAGAATAGAGGTCGCTGCATTTATAAATGAAGCCGAGTCAGGAATAGAAAGAGATAGGGCTGAAGAACAGAGGTTGCTGCATTTAGAAATGAAGTAGGGTCAGAGGAATAGAAAGGGATAGGGCTGAAGAACAGAGGTCACTGCATTTAGAAAGGAAGCGGGGTCAGAGGAGCAGAGGGAGCATTTGGTCACTGCTCTGCTGAGCAAAGCAGGATAAAGTCCTCCATGACCCTTGGACTTCTATATTGGAATTATTAAAAATCAGATTTCAGAATAAAAAACACAATAAGTGATGAAAAATGGATTTCTGAATGAGATCATGTGTCATAGAGTCCAATGGAAGGGGAGAAACAGGATATTAGAAAAGCCACAAAAAGTAGACAAAAGTTGTTTTTGTTGATTATAGAAAAAATAAACTTTATTTAAAGAGAAATGGTTAAGAGAAAGGGAAAAACTGAAACCTATGGGCGAATACTTAGAATGACAGTATTTAGCTCAGCCTGAAGACAGATGAGGATCAAAAATGTAATGGGAACTAGATAAGAGTTTTCTAAAAATTGTCTTAGTAAGATGTAATTTAAGAAAACTTCTTGGAATATCTTAAACTATTAAAGACAATGTTTCTAAAGCATCTTTAAAAACTAAAATGTAAATATAACTACTCTTTTTTTTACTAACCCTTAGTATTTTGTGTGTAAAAACCTTCATTTGTAACAAAGATTTTAGCAGTTTAAATTTCAGATAAGTTAATGATGAAAATTTGAATCATTTTTAGCAGTTTTAAGAAAAGTGACTGTTTTTGAAATCTGCCCTTATTGGCATCAGGTTTATAAAATGCACTTTATATACCTGCCTAAATACATATTACTCATCCACTTATGAGAAATAATATTTTTGAGATAAAAGAGGGACTCTAGATTTTACAAAAATAATTTTAAACACTTTTTTGAAGCCTGAAGAAAAAAATGAAGAATTAAGAAAACTTTTTGAGTTAATATTATCACTGGAGTATAATGTGGATCGAATAAGAAAGAAAAGTCATGAATTATAAGAAGAGGCAACTGGGTATGGTTTTCATATTGTAGAACATGTTAACCACTTATTAATTGGCTTAACTCTAATTTTACTTGACTAAAACCTAGATACAAATTCATTTTAAGTTTACATTTTCATAATTAAATTAATTCTATTTTAAAATGTATTTCAGAAACTCACAACACAACTTTTTAGACATGTGTGTCAGGGGGTCAGGAGTCAGCTGAGCTGCTGGGGCAAGGTGAAATTTTTTTTGAATGCCAAAATATGCTTTTTTTTTTTTTTTTTTTTGAGAAAGAGTCTGGCTCTGTTTCCCAGGCTGGAGTGCAATGGCACAGTCTTCGCTCACTGCAACCTATGCCTCCAAGCAATTTTCCTGCCTCAGCCTCCTGAGTAGCTGGCATTACAGGCATGTGCCACCACGCCCGGCTAATTTTTGTATTTTTACTAGAGACGGGGTTTTGCCAGGTTGGTCAGGCTGGTCTCGAATTCCTGACCACGTGACCTGCCCACCTCGGCCTCCCAAAGCGACGTGAGCCACCATGCCCAGCCACTTATTCTTTAATGATTTTGAAAACAATAACCAAGCCTCGGACATATAATGTCCAGTGCACTCTTCATTATTTAGTTTGAATTTTTATTTCTGAAGATATTTTTTGCTGTCTGTGGTCATTTTTTCTTCCTTTTGTAGTATCCTCTGCTGCATTCAAATTCTTTAAAGAAGACCTGTTTGTGTCATTCTTTAACATCAAATTTATCTTGATATGTAGCTTATATTTTGTTTCTGCTTCTTTTTCTTTTAGTTATAAAACATATCATGGAAATTTACTCATTGTACATGAGTACCTCTTTTGTATACATGAAGTATACACGTTAAACTTGTTTTACATAAATAAATTTCATATATATAAAATATATGTATAACTTGAAGAAAAAGAAAAATGAACATTCAAGTTTTGATCACACGTTTTTTTTTAAAACAATGGAATCTGTCTTTGAAGCCTTGAACACAGCTACTTTTCTATTTATTTACTGAGCACTTAATTTGGTTTTCAGATTCTAATCAACAGCTTTCTGTCATTGCCTTTCTCTACATGGTTTTGTATCTCTTTCATTTTGTTGACATTATGTCAGCAAAGATGTCTAGATCTCTTCTTCAAAGTCTTTATATCGTCTCACATCTCTCTGCCCCTTTCCTTTTTTCTAAAACTGCCTGTTTCCTTTTTCTCCTCAACTCAGATATTAAAGATGTTTTCTTCTCTTTTTCTACATTGAATGATCTCCTTGATGCTTTGTGTGTGTACTTTTTTTTCTTCTGATAGACTGTGGTCAATGGGTATCAAAGTGTATTTTTGTGTCTTTTTCAAATGTATGTGTTTTACTTTTTTATCTTGGTTACTCATCTGTGGGTTATGGCTTATATTTAGTAATAGGTTATTTTACCTAGTATACCAACATGGATATGAGTAGTTTATTTACAAAAAGTGTATGGTTAGGCCAGGTGTGGTGGCTCACACCTGTAATCCCAGCACTTTGGGAGGCCAATGTGGGTGGATCATTTGAGGTCAAGAGTTCAAGACCAGTCTGACCAGTGAAACCCCATCTCTACTAAAAATACAAAATGAGCCAGGCATGGTGGTACACACCTGTAATCCCAGCTACTTGGGAGGCTGAGACAGGTGGATCACTTGAATCCAGGAGGCAGAGGTTGCAGTGAGCTGAGATCACACCACTGCACTTTGGCCTGGGTAAGAAGAGTGAAATTCCATCTCAAAACAAAACAAAAACACTGTATGGTTTTAATATTACTTTACCTGCCATATATGCCATAAAATTGGTCTTCATATTATTTACCTAAGATTATAATTTCATATAGAATGCTTTCAAACTATGTTCAGTTGAAACTGAAAGGAACATAGTGCATAGATTTGTTTCTTTGATATGCCATAACATAATATATGTTTAAACAATGATTAAATATTTACTCTTAAAAATACTTGACTTACTAATTCTGTACATTTCTGCAAATATAAGAAACTCCTGGAAATGACAATAAATATGTTAAATGTATTTGGAAATGAAGACTTTGTTTGCCATGAAGACTTAAAAACAGATCAACTAAAAATGGATATTCTGATTAAGAAGCTAAAACAGAAGGTAATTAAAAAATATTTTATCTTAAGGTCTAGATTACATGTGTGAGACATGCAGGTTTCTTATATAGTTAAACGTGTTCCATGATGGTTTGCTGCACCTATCAATCCATCACCTAGATATTAAGCCCTGCAGGCATTAGTTATTGATCTTGATGCTCTCCCTCCTGACCCCAACAGGCCCCAGTGTTTGTTGTTCCCCTCCCCGAGTCCGCGTGTTCTCATCGTTCAGCTCCCACTTATAAGTGAGAAGATGCAGTGTTTGGTTTTTTCTTCCTGCATTAGTTTGCTGAAGAGATCAGCTTTGGGTTCATCCATATTCCTGCAGAGCATGATTTCATTAATTTTTATGGCTCCATAGTATTCCATGGTGTATATATACCACATTTTCTTTATCCCATCTATCACTGATGGACATCTGGGTTGATTCCATGTCTTTACTATTGTGAATAGTGCTGCAATGAACATACAAATGTATGTATCCTTATAATAGAATAATTTATATTCCAACGTATGGTAATTTTAAATCAGTTTTTGTATTAAAAATCACGTAATTTTGGAAAATATTGATAATGGAAAAACCCAAATTCTGCCAAAATATGTTGAGAAAATAGAGGGTAAATATATCTTTTCAGACTTTAAATGCCTCAGGCTCTTAGTTAATCTTCCCCAGATCTGGGAAGACCTAGAAGGGGAGAGATTGGGCTACATTAATGAGGGCCATTTCAATATCTTGGCCCTGCAGCAGCCATTTCAAAATATGTCAAAAAATATTTAGGGGTAAAATATTTTGATTTCCTTCAGCTTCTTTGTGATACTGCACCAGAATCAGGTTAGAAAGGAAGCCACATAATAAGAGTTAATAAAACCCATCTGATGAGATTTGATAGTTTGAAGGGTGTGATTCCCAGACCCTTTAGATAGAAATTGGGGCCAAAGAAAACAAGGTCTTATTCCTCATTATAAATCTGTCCGTGCTTCAAGCAGTGAAAGAAAGATTTTTCATTTAATTTTACAGACTTGATACTAATGAAAAGGATAGCTTTTAAAATATAAATCTCTTTTTCTATAAAAAGGACATGCTGTTGATTCTCTTAGGCCTTGAACCCTGCCCAGTGATCTGAAACCAAGCAGTACCTGTCTCCAGATCACTAGTACGAAAATCACTAGTACCAAATTAATTTGGGGTGGGTGGTAATAGGTTTACTGAGAAATAATGAACATACCATGTAATTCACTCATTTAAAATATACAATTCATTAACTTTAATATTTTCAGAGAGTTATGCAGTCATCATTACAATCAATTTTAGAACATTTTCATCACCCTAAAAACAAACCCCACATCATTTAGCCATCTTCACTAGTTTTCCCGTCTTCCTTCAGCCCTAGGGAACCACCCACCTTCTTTGTATACATTCGCCTATAAGCCTCTGAAATAAAAAGCAAGTGGTCTGCTGTGACTGGCTTATTTCACTTAGCATAATTTTTCATGCTGCATCTGTGCTGTAGCAGGTATTGATGCTGGTTTTTTGCTCCTTAGTTCAGCTACACCTGGGTTCTTCTCTCATGACCAGGAAAAATTAAGCATGCAGACACATTGAAGAGGACAGAATTTATTATGTGAAAGGAAAGCTCTCAGCAAACAGAGGGGTCCTGCAAACAGGTTTCCACCTCAAAATTGAATACCAGAAGCACATGAGCTGAAGCGGCCAGGCTCCTCCTCTGCATAAGGCGTGAATTCCTGGTGACTCCACCCCATTCCCCTAGTGCATGTGGGCCTCCAGTCTGCTGCGGGCGTGTCCAGGCAAGACAAGTCCAGGTTCCCTCATCTGCACATAACATCTGGTGTAAACACTTGTGGGGCTGGTTGGAGATTCTCCACGGACCCTTCCGTTTCTGCCTAGGCATTTTGCTGTCTCCTCCTAATAGAGTATCTGTACTTAATTTCTTCTTATTGCTGAGTAATATTCCATTGTATGGATATATCAAACATTTTATTTATCCATTGGCCAGGTGATGGAACTTTGGGTTCTCTCCCACCCAAAGGTGATACACGTTATTGTTCTTTCCACTTTTTGACTCCTATTAATAATGCTGCTGTAAACATTTATGTATGAGTTTTTGTGCTTGCGTATGTTTTTATTTTTCTGGAGCGTATACTTATGACTGGAATTTCTGGGTCATATGGTAACTTCATGCTTAACCTTTTAAGAAGCTGCCAGTTTGTTTTCCAAAGTGGCTGCATCACTTTACATTCCCAGCAGCATTAGATAAGGGTTTTAATTTCTTTACATTTTTTCTAACACTTACTCTTTTTTCTTGAACAAAGATTTTATCCTGTGGTGTGAAGTGATACCACATATGGTTTTGATTTACATTTTCCTAATGACTAATTACATTAAGTATCTATTAATGTGCTTATCCATCTTTATATCTTCTTTGCAGATATATCTATTCAAAATCTTTGCCCATTTTTTAAAATTGGGTTATCTTGTTGTTTATTAATTGCAAGAGTTATTTATATTTCCTATATATGAAAGTCCCTTATCAGATATACGCTTTTCAAATACTTTCTTCTACTTGGCATCTTACCTTTTCACTTCTTGGTGCTGTCTTCCCAGGCACAGCAGTTTTCAATATTGAAGTCCATTGAATCCATTTTTCCTTTGGAGTCATAGCTAAGAAAACACTGCCAAATGCAGTCACAAAGATTTATGCCAGTGTTTTCTTCTGGGGTTTTTATAGTTTTAGCTGTTAGAGTTAACTGTTTTATTTTGAATTAATTTTTAAATAAGATATTTGGTCAAACTTTATTTTTTGCATATGGATACCTAGTTGTCCCAGCACCATTTGTTGAAAAGACTGTTCTTTTCCCATTTTGTTCTTTTGTTAAGCTTTTATAAAATCAATTGACTGTAAATGTGCAGGCTTATTTTTAGGTTATCAATTCTTAGCTTGTTTATGTCTATTCTTATGTCAAGGCCAAATCAAATTGAATGAGAAGTTTTCTTCAATCATGTTGCATATTACCAGTTGTCTTATGTCATAATAAAAATTAAATTTAGTGGAATATCTGTAACTTCACCTTTTGTGTCACAAAGGAGTCTCTTGCCAGCTTATACCTTACTTCCTCTAAGACATGGTCAGAAGCCAGGCTTGCAAGACACACTTAATTTCTTTTTTTCTCCATTCAAACCTTTAGTCTCTTTTACATTGCCTCCCACTATAGTTATATTTTCAGTAAGTTTTGGTCACAGGATCTGCTGACATAGTCTAATATTTAGTGTATTATGTTTTACTTACTCATTATAATTTATAGAACCTTCCATAGATGTTTACCATCTAGGAAGGAGAAGTTTAAGTCTGAGCCGCCAGCTTTCCTCAGTGGAAATCAAGTGAAGTCATCATCTTGCAGTTTACAGACCCTCTTTCCATCTGGCAGCTGGTTCTCTTGGGTAGCACTGTGGCTAATCCTTTTCTTGGTGCAGATCTTGCATTCTCAGAAACCACAGTTCCCTGTATTGATCTCGTTTTATTGAAACAGAGATGCACAGCTCTGCTTTCTAGCTCAGTAGAGGATTCTTAGAATAAAACGTTTAACTCATTCCAAGAAAAAGTCTTAGGAGTGCAGCACTTCAAAATCAGGTAACGTTCAGGCAATTTATCAGAGACACATAGTAGATTAGTATTTTGACTTTCAAAATTTCAGAGCCAAGTTGTGTGCTATAGAGAAGCATTGTGGCATAACAGAGAAGAGATGGTCTTTACTTCTCCATAGAAACAAGCTTGGAGTAAGGTAAAGGAGAAATTGCATTTGAAGTCTTAACACTCAAAACACACTATGCTTATTTTACTTCTGTGAAGACTAAAAATCATTCCATAATGTTCTCCTTATTTCCTCATTTAGAAAAGAAAATGAAAATTGAATACTAGGTTGATTAATAAATACTCAAAACTCCTTCTTTTAGAATTTTAGTTAATTGAAATCAGGTAAATGTCTGATTTGGGCTATGTCACCAAGTATTTCTAGTTGTTTTTCAAATCATACATCTTCTTGCTTCCCAGTCTTATTTCCTAACTTGAGGGGAAATTGTAAAGAGACACACTTGCCTTGTTATCAGAGTCCATAATTGAAGGAGTTTTAGGAAAATTTCCTCCTCAGCAGCTTATGTCTCTCTCCTGGTTATCTGCTGCTTCTCAATAATGTTTGACATCAATAAATAAATCTCAACATTTATTAGATCCTACTTTAAAGGAGACTTTTCTGCTGCATAAGTTATGTTTCCTGTTGTCTCTTTTTAAAAGTTATTTTTCTAACAATTACCCAGAGTCTTGTGGCTTGAAAGAAAAACATTTATTTTGTTCATGAACCAGTGGTTTGGGAAAAACTTGGCCAGGACAGCTTGTCTCTGCTCCCTTCAGCTTCCCTAGGAATAGCTGATCAGTTGGGGAAATGGAATCCTCTGAAGCTTTGCTCTCCCACATGTTTGATGGTTGATGCTGGCCAGCGGCTGTAAACTTGGTTGGGACAGCAGCATGAACACTGACACAGGCACTTTCAGGCTCTCTTTGTGGCCTGATGGCTCTCACAATTGGAGCTGGGTTCCAAGGGAAAACAGTCTGAAATAGGGAAGCCACATGGTATCCCTTTCACTACATTCTACTCATTAGAAGGAAGTCAGTAAGGCTGGCCCATATTCTGTTTTTTAAATGGGATGAATGTAGCTTCTCTTGTTTTAATTGACACATATATACATAATTATGGGCTATAGAGTGATATTTTTATACATGTATATAGTGTGTAATGATCAAGCTAACTAGCACATTTACTACTTCAACCATTTTTCATTTCTTTGAATTGTGAACATTCAAAATCTTCTGGCTTTTTAAAAATATACAATAATTCTGTATCCATTAACCAGCCTCCCCTCCCCTACTTCTATGAGCTTTTTTTTGTTGTTAAGAGACAGGGTCTTGCTAGTGTAGTCTGGGCTCTGGGCAACTGTAGTCACCCAGACTGGAGACAGTGGTTTGATCATAGTTCACTGCAGCCTCAAATTCTTGGGCTCATGTGATCCTCACACCTCAGCCTCCTGAAGAGCTGGGATTATGGGCATGCATTATTGCACCTGTCTGATTTTTTACTTTCTGGAGATATCTCCCTATGTTGCCCAGGGTTCTCTGGAACTTTTGGCCTCAAATGATTCTCCTGCCTTGGTCTTACAAAGTGCTAGGAAATTACAGGCATCAGCCATATTGCCCAGCCCTCAATTTTCCTTTAGCTCCCACACATGAGTAAGAATGTGCAGTATTTATCTTTCTGTGTCTGCACTTAACATAACATCCCTCAGACTGATCCATGTGGCCACAAATAGCAGGATTTAATTCCTTTATACGGTGAATAGTATTCCATTGTGTTTGTGTGCCACAGTTTTTCGTCCATTCATTTGGTGATGGACATGTAGGTTGATTCCATACACAAGCTGTTGTGAATAGTGCTACAGTACACATATGAGGACAGGTATCTTTTTGATCTATTGTTTTCTTTTCTATTGCCTGAATACCCAGTAGTGTGGTTGCTAGATCCCTCGGCAGTCCCATTATTAGTTTTTTGAGAAAACCTCATGTTGTTCTCTATAGTGGCTGCACTAATTTACCTTCCCACCAACAGCATGTAAGTGTTTACTGTTCTCTGGAGCCTCACCAGCATTTGTTATTTTTTTTGTCTTTTCAATGATAGCAATTTATTCAAATTGAAGCGAGATTATATCACATTGTAGATTTGATTTGTATTTCCCTGAGGATTAGTGATACTGAGCATTTTAAAATTTATTTATTGGCTATTTGTATTTCTTTTTCTAAAGAAAAGTATGGTTAGATATTTTGCCCAATTTTAAACTCAGATTTTTTTTTTTACTGTGAAGTTGTTTGAGTTTTTTTGTATATTTTGTATATTAGTCCCTTATTAGATGAATAGCTTGACAATATTTTCTCCCATTCTGCAGGTTTTCTTTTCACTCAGTTGTTTGCCTGACAGAAGCTCTTTAGCTTAATATAGTACCATTTATCTATGATTTGTTGTTTGCCTATGCTTCTCATGTCTTACCCATAAAAATCTTTGTGCAGACTAATGTCCTCAAGCATTTTCCCTATATTTACTTATAGTGGTTTGATAGTTTTCGGCCTTACATTTCAGTCTTCAATCGATTCTGAGTTTATGTTGTTATATGGTGTTACATAGGAAGCTAGTATCATTCTTCTCCATATGGATATTTAGTTTTCCCAGTGCCATTCATTTGAAGAGGCTGTCCTTTCTCCAACGTATGTTCTTGGCATGTTCGTCCAAAATCAGTTGGCTGGATATATGTGGATTTATTTCTGGGTGCCATATTCTATGGCCTTTACCCCAAGAATCATTACTTCTTAAAATGCAATTCAAATTAGCATAAAACATTTGCAGTTTAAGGAAGGGCTTATGACATCAGAATCCTTAATTATAGAATTCATTATTTTGTGTTTTTTTGAGATAGGATCCTTTTCTGTCATCCAGGCAGAAGTGCAGTGATAATAATTCACTGCAGCCCTGAACTCTGGTACAAACCATCCTTTTGCCTCAGTATCCCAACTAGCTGGGTCTACAGGCATGAGCCACCATGCCCGGGTAATTAAAAAAAATTTTTTTTTCTAGAGATGGGGGTCTCATTATGTTGCTCTGGCTGATCTCAAATTCCTGGCCTCAAGTGATCTTTCTGCCACAGCTTTTTAAAGTGCTGGGATTACCGTCATGAGCCACCATGCCTAGTATAGAGTGTAATATTATTTTCAAAGTCTTATTCCTAGAGCCATGTATTGACTTTGGCCTAAATAACTCAATATGATATCTCTGAAAGTTTTTTTGACATATTGTGGGGAATGATAATGAGGGAAGGGGATTAGACACTTTTTACTAGGAGATAACTTTGTGCCATTTAAGGAGGAACAAAAATAAATTATCAGAAAAATAAAAGTAAGATGAAGTACAAAAGTTCTGTGGCAAAGATGATGATAGTAAAGAATATATTTTTATGACTCATGGTAGCTTTAACATTGTTCTTAAAATTCTGAGTAATTTAAGGGTTCACATTTGAAGAATCTGGTGCATTACTGATAACATTTTATTGCAAGTAAATGCATTTTAAAATTTGCTATTGGTTTTGTATTAGATTATTCTCAACCTACTTCATTATCAAGCTATACTATTTTATTTATGCAGTTTGATGATCTTATGGCAGAGGAGGAAGCTGTATCTTCAAAATGTGTCAATTTGTCTAAAGACAATCAAGTTATCCAACAGGAGTTATTATCTATGAAAAAAGTACAACAAGAATGTGAAAAACTTGAGGAGAATCAAAAGATGTTGGAAGAAGAAATATTAAATCTTAAGACACATATGGAAAACAGTATGGTAGAACTTAGTAAACTACAAGAATATAAATCAGAGCTAGATGAAAGGGCAATGCAGGCAGTAGAAAAATTAAAAGAAATCCATTTACAGGTTACTTGTTTAAATCAGGTAAGTTTACCTGTAATGTGCTTTCATTTAGTTCACTGCAAATTATATTTTGGAGAGAGATATATATATATATAGTGTTTCCTCTGCCTCTCTTGTAGCAATCTGCTTTGTAGAGTTGTAGAAAAAAATGGCATCTGTTTTTTCTTTTAAATATTTAAATTTCCATTATTGTTATAAGAAAATCAATCTTTCAGAGTAATGATTCTCATTATGGAGTCATTTGATGATTAAGACCAGTTGGCATAGGAAAAAATTGTGATTTAGAAATTATGTGATACTTTTGAATTGGTCTTAAGCTACATTGTTCATTGATCACTTTTTCAAATTATGAATGGATTCTATTACTTTTTATATGACCAGATTATATTAATACTAACATAATTATGATTTCAAATTTTTATAAATCAGACTTAATTCTGAATTC